>NC_000017.11:3218383-3369898 GCF_000001405.40 Homo sapiens
ACAAATACCATTTGATCCAGTGATCCCATTACTGGGTATATACCTAAAGGATTATAAATCATTCTACTATAAAGACACATGCACAAGTATATTTATTGTGGCACTGTTCACAGTAGCAAAGACTTGGAACCAACCCAAATGCCCATCAATGATAGACTGGATGAAGAAAATGTGGCACATATACACCATGGAATACTACGCAGTCATAAAAAAGGATGAGTTCATGTCCTTTGCAGGGACATGGATCAAGCTGGAAACCATCATTCTCAGCAAACTAACACAAGAAAAGAAAACCAAACACTGCACGTTCTCACTCATAAGTGTGAGTTAAACAATGAGAACACATGGACACAAGGAAGGGCACATCACACACCAGGGCCTGTCAGCGGGTTGGGGGCAAGAGGAGGGATAGCATTAGGAGAAATACCTAATGCAGATGTCAGGCTGATGGATGCAGCAAACCACCATGGCACGTGTATACCTATGTAACAAACCTGCATGTTCTGCACATGTACCCCAGAATTAAAAGTATAATAATAAAAAAAAGAAACTGACCTGGGGAAATATTTCTGTGCTTACTTCATAGTTTAGACTATATCTAAAGATAATACAACTCCTCCTAAAATCTTACTAAGACAGTCACTAATAAATAATAATAATAATAAACAAAAACAAAAGCAAAGAAAGAATGACCACAGGATTCAGGATAAGAGAAAATTCAAAAGGAGAAATGGGGGAATAGAACTAGGGTTATCACATAGTTAGATGTAGGTTATTACTACAGTCCTAATATTCAGATTAAGTGGTGAGTCCAGGGTGTTCATGAAATTATGATTGATTGATAGTTACATAGATACATAGATAAAAGCTCTGAATGAAACAATGAAGAGAGCTTCTCTTTAATCAAGAATGGATAGATAAGAGAGCAGTAAGGGAGGAGGGGAGAGTGATGAGATCAGGAGTTTAATTACACATCTCTTAAAGCAATCTAGGGAAGAGAGAGTGAAGATACAAAATGAATACAAGACTAATTTTGCTGTTACGGATAAACTCAGTAAGATCAAATGGAATTAGGTGTTTATTGCCCATGGTGAAATAATAAGTACCAAAGAGGATAGATACTATATAAGAAGGTATCCTTCTTTGCATCTACGATCCAGATGCAAACGTAGTGTGGAAATAGAAACCATAGAATGAATTATTATGATAGCAATAAGATGTCTAGAAGATTTTGAGTTCGAGTCACTAAAAGGAAAAAGATGCCCTTAATGACAGTAGTGAACAAAACAGCAATTTAAGAAAAAAAAAAAAAGTTCCATTTTGGGTGTGTTTTTAGTGTTCCAGTGACTCTTGTGGATGTATTGGATTAAATAGTAGAATGAAGATACAAAGCTTTGGAGCAAAATTAACAGAACATGGATCAGAGGGGAGCTGATAAGTCAAGTTTTCAACAAAGAGACTTGCAGAATGACTAAACTTCAAGAAAGGGAGCCAGGATGGAGAATGAGGATTCCAGCTGGGGAAGGAAGACACTTGTACAGTCAAGACTTGATGGTCCTCCAAGTCAAACTATGTGTCTCTCTCCCTTTTATATCAGTCAAGGGACATAGCACAGTGTATTGTCCTGCACTACTGAGCACTCAAATACTTGCTTTGAAAAAAATGAAACAAGGAAAAGTGGTAAATGCTACAAAAGAAGTTAATGTGCCACGTAGGTTCAGAGAAAGTAGCCATTTCATTACATATGAAATGTACATATGCATGTGGGCGTGTGCATTTCGTCTATCACATATATTATTGTCTCTGAATTTTCAAAATAGTCCTGTGGCACAGATGGCAATAGCCCTCCTTCCAGATGAAGAAGTCACATCTCTCAAAGATGAAGTGATTTAGCCCATGTCTTTCAATTAGAAAAATGCAGATCTTGTATTTGAGCCCAGTTTTCCTCATGCTGAATGCTCTTCCTCTGACTCCACAGCTGGCCTGTAGAGGGAATATAGAATAATGAGGAGAGATACCTAAGGAAGCCAGGATTTGTGCACCTGCAGGAAACATGGCTAGAACTTTAACAAGCAGAGGGGACACTCCAGCCATGGTAATGGTTCTTTTTATGATTCCTATTTATTTATTGCTTTTTAAGTTATTCCCCTTTATCTTCTGTTTTCATTCATGCTTGTAGGATTTCAATATACATGCTTAGCTTCTCACAGTCCATTTACAGTTAATATCACACCACCTCATGTAAAATGTAGAAGCTCTGTATTTGCATAATCTCATTTATTGCTCCAACTGCCTTTTGCTAGATGCTATATATATAACAACTACTTACACTACAAAACTGGCCATCAGAGAAATGCAAATCAAAACCACAATGAGATACCATCTCACACCAGTTAGAATGGCGATCACTTTCTTATTTTCAAAAATTATAAAATTGGGTTTAAGATATTCTTAATTCTAAGAAAATAGAATTTACGTTGACCTGGTGGCTCATGCCTGTTATCTCCGCACTTTGGGAGGCTGGGGTAGGAGAGCTGCTTGAGACCAAGAGTTCAAGACCAGCCTGAGCAACATAGCAAGACCCCATCTCTTAAAAAAAGTTTAAGTCAAAATGGACACCCACAGAAATAGAAAAGATCATTCGAGACTACTGTGAACACCTCTATGCGCAGAAACTAGAACATTTAGCAGATATGGATAAATTCCTCGAAGAACCTTCTTGGAAGTATATTATCCTCCACAATATGGAAATGAAGTAACATATGGAAATGAAACAAGTTTTTCAATTTTTTCTACTATTCATTGCTAATTTCATTCCATTGTAGCAGGAAAACATACTTTGTATTTTTTCTAGCCTTTTAATGTCATTGAGGTTTATTTTGTGGTCTAGCATATGGTCTATCATAGAGAATGTTCCCATGACACTTGAAAATAACTTTCTTCTTTTGTTGTTGGGCAGAGCGTTACATAGACATCTGTTAGGCGCAGTTAATTTACAGTGTGGATCAAGTCTTTATTTCCTTGTTGATCTTCTGTCTAGTTGTTCTATCCATTATTGAAAGTGGTATGTTGAATTCTCCAAATACTGTTGTTGAATTATTATTATATATTATATAATATATATATTATTATTATATATTATATATATTATTATATATTATATAATATATTATATATTATTATATATTATATAATATATTATATATTATTATATATTATATAATATATTATATAATATATTATTATATATTATATAATATATTATATATTATTATATATTATATAATATATTATATATTATTATATATTATATAATACATTATATATTATTATATATTATATAATACATTATATATTATTATATATTATATAATATATCATATATATTATTATTATTATTATTCCCCACCCCACAACAGGCCCTGGTGTGTGATGTTCCCCTTCCTGTGTCCAAGTGTGAAGATAATGTATGGAGTTTTTCTATGTAGATAAGTTGTTATCGGCTTCAAACAGACTGTTGTAAGAATTTTTATCCAAACCTCATGGTAATCACAAGGAAAAAGCCATTGTACAATCAAAAAATAAGACTGACAGGGCATGGTGGCATGAACCTGTAGTCTCAGCCACTCAGGAAGCTGAAGTGGGAGGATCACTTGAGCCAAGGAGTTGGAGACTGCAGTAAGCTAGGATCATGCCACTGCAATCCAGCCCGGGCAACAGAATGAAACCCTGCCTCTTAAAATAAATAAATAAATAAAAGTAACTTTTAAAAACAAAGAGAAAAGGATCAAAGTATATCACTATTTTACAAAATCATCAAACCACAAAGAATACAACAAGAGATGGACATCCAGCTTTCCCAGCATTCCAAGACACCTGTTAGGATGCCCACTCCAGTCTCACCTCACAGAGATCATAGTGGGGTAATGGCAAGGTTAACTCCCTGTGGTCAGATACAAACAAAGAAGGGAGGTGTTTCTCTGAGAAAGAGAGAAACAAAAGACTGACAAAAAAGACAGAACACAATCACAAATTGACCATAGTGTTTGCCTATCAATAATTACTTCAAGTATAAGCAAATTACACTCATTATTCAAAATATATACAGCAGCTAAATGAATTAAAATACATGATCCAACTATGTGCTTTCTAGAAGACACAAACTTTAAATTTAAGGACACAAAGAAACTGAAAGTAAAGGGAAGAAAAAATACATTCTATGCAAATTGTAACCAAGTGATGTGGTTTGGCTCTGTGTCTCCACCCAAATCTCATTTCAAATTGTAACCTTCATGTGTCAGGGGAGGAACCTGGTGGGAGGTGATTGGATCATGGTAGCAGATTTTCCTCATGTTGTCCTCATGATAGTGAGTTCGTTCTCATGAGATCTGATTGTTCAGAAGTGTGGCACGTCCCACTGCCCCTCTGTCTCCTGCTGCCAAGTAAGATGTACCTTGCTTCCCTTTCACTTTCTGCCATGATTATAAGTTTCCTGAATGCTTCCCCAGCTATGCAGAAATGGAGTCAATTAAACCTCTTTTTTTTATATACATTATCCAGTCTCAGGTAGTTTTTATGCAGTGTGAGAATGGACTAATACAGAAAATCGTTATCAGTGGATTAGGGTACCTCTATAAAGATACTTGAAAATGTAGAAGCAACTTTGGAACTGGGTAACAGGAAGAGGTTGGAACAGTTTGGAGGACTCAGAAGACAGGAAGATGTAGGAAAGTTTGGAACTTCCTAGAGACTTGTTGAATAGTTTTGAACAAAATGCTGAAAGTGATATGGACAATGAAGTCCAGGCTGAGGTGGTCTCAGATGGAGATGAGGAACTTATTGTGAACTACGGTAAAGGTGATTCTTGCTATGCATTAGCAAAGACACTGGAGGCATTTTGCACCACCCTAAAGATCCGTGGAACTTTGAACTTGAGAGAGATTATTTAGGTTATCTGGTGGACGACATTTCTAAGCAGCAAAGCATTCAAGATGTGACCTGGCTGTTTCTAAAAGCCTATAGTCATATGCATTCACAAAGAGATTATCTGAAATTGGAACTTATGTTTAAAAGAGAAGCAGAACATAAAAGTGTGGAAAATTTGCAGTCTGGCCATGCAGTAGAAAAGAAAAACCCATTTTCTGGGGAGAAATTCAAACTGGCTGCAGAAATTTGCATATGTAACAAGGAGCCAAATGTTAATAGTCAAGACAATGGGGAAAATGTCTCCAGGGCATTTCAGAGACCTTCACAGCAGCCCCTTCAATCACAGGCATGGAAGACTAGAAGACTCAATGCAGCCATGGGACATGGCACCCTGCATCCCAGCCACTCCAGCTCCAGCCATGGCTAAAAGGGGCCAAGGTAAAGCTCAGGCCATTGCTTCAGAGGGTACAAGTCCTAAACACTGGTGGTTTCCACATGGTGTTGGGCCTGCAAGTATGCAGAAGACAAGAGTTGAGGTTTGGGAATCTCAGCCTAGGTTCCAGAGGATGTATGGAAATGCCTGGATTTCCAGGCAGAAGTCTGTGGCAAAAGCAGAGCCCTCATGGAGAACCTCTACTAGGGCAATGCAGTGGGGCTGGAGCCCCCCATAGGAGAACCGCCTAGTGGAGCTGTGAGAAGAGGGCCACCATCCTCCAGCCCCCAAAATGGTAGATCCACCAACAGCTTGCACTAGGTGCCTGGAAAAGCCACAGGCACTCAATGCCAGCCCATGAAAGAAGTTGCAGGGGCTGTATGTACCCTGCAGAGCCACAGGGGTGGAGCTGCCCAAGGCCTTGGGAGCCCACCTCTTGCATCAGTGTGCCCTGGATGTGAGACATGGAGTCAAAGGAGATTATTTTGGAGATTTAAGATTTAATGGCTGCCCTGCTGGGTTTTGGACTTGCATGAGGGCTGTAGCCCCTTGGTTTTGGTCAATTTCTCCCTCTTGGAATGGGAGCATTTACCCAATTCCTATATCCCCATTGTATCTTCGAAGCATCAAAGTAACTAACCTGTTTTTTATTTTACAGGGTAGTAGGCAGAAGGGACTTGCCTTGTCCCAGATGAGATTTTGGACTGGAACTTTTGAATGCCTGAATGAGTTCAGACTTTGGGAGACTATTGGGAAGGCATGATTGGTTTTGAAATGTGAGAAGAACATGAATTTTGGGAGGAGAAGGGTTGGAATAATACGATATGGCTCTGTATCCCACCCAAATGTTACCTGGAATTGTAATCCCCACATGTCAGGGGAGGGAACTGGTATGAGGTGATTGGATCACGGAGGCAGATTTTCCCCATGCTGTTCTCATGATAATGAGTGAGTTCTCATGAGATCCAATGGTTTAAAAGTGTGGCACTTCACCCTCCCCTTCTCTCTCTCCTGCTGCCATGTAAGATGTGCCTTGCTTCCCCTTTGCCTTCCACCATGATTGTAAGTTTCCTGAGGCCTCCCCAGCCATGCAGAATTGTAAGTCAATCAAAGCTCTTCCTTACCTAGTCTTTACCCAGTCTCAGGTAGTTCTTTACAACAGTGTCAAAACAAATACACCAAGTGTGCAGGGTGGCTATACTTACATCAGATAAAATGGACTTTAATTCAAAAGCTGTTACAAGAAACAAAGAAGGTCATTACATAGTGACAAAATGGTTGATTCCATAGGAATATATAACAATTATAAATATACATGTACCAAACATCAGAGCACCTAACTATATAAAGCAAACATTGACAGATTTTAAGGGATACATAAAAGCAGTACAGTAATAGGAGACTTTCCATAAAGGATTTATAATCTGAACAGAAGATCAATAAGGAAACACCAGATCTGAACAATGCCATAAACCAATGTATGAGTCAGACATGTACAAAACATTCCACCCAACAGCAGCAGAAAACACATTCTTCTAAAACAGACATGGAACATTTTCCAAGAAAAATCACATGCTAGGTTACAAAATAATTGTTAACAAACTTAAGAAGATTGAAATCATTCTGTGTGCCATTTCTGGCTATTAAAAAATGAAAAATGAATTCAATAACAATAGGAAAATTATAGATTATATGAAATTTAAACACTCCTGAACAACTATTGACTCAAAGAAGAAATTAAAAAGAAAATTAAAAAATATTTCAGGGAAAACAATGAAAATAAACACAACATACAAAAACTTACAAGTTGCAGCAAATGCAGTACTAAGAGGGAAATTGACAGTGAGAAACTTACATTATGAAAGAAGAAAGATCTCAAATAAACAACCTAACTTTACACTTAAGGAAGTAAAAAATAAGACATTAAACCCAAAGTTAGCAGAAGGAAGAAAATCATAAAGAATAGAGCAGAAATAAATGAAACAGAAAATAATTACAAAAATAGACTAAAGTAGACATTGTTTTTTGGGAAAAAATGTGAAAAAATTAACAAACTCTTAGCTAGAATCATTTTTAACATAAGAAATACTCAAACAAAATCAGAAGGGGTGAAATTTCTATTATCTATGGCCATGGAAATTAAAGAAGGTCAGAAAGAATTATTATAAACAATTGCAAGCCAATTAATTGGACAGCCTATAAGAAACTGATAAATTTCTAGAAACACACAACCTTTCAACCTGAATAAGAAGTAGAAAGCCTGAACAGTCCAATAACAAATAAGAAGACTGAATCAGTAATTTAAAAAACAAACTTTCAAACGATAAAAGAAACATGAACGGATGGATTCACAGGTAATTTCTACCAAATATCTAAAGAAGAATTAATACCCAAACTTCTTAAATTCTTCCAAAAATAATAGTAGGAAACACTTCCAAACTCATTTAATGACACCAGCATCACTCTGATACCCAAGCCAGACAAAGACACCACAAGAAAGGAAAACACAGACCAATATCTCTTATGAACACAGATTCAAATACTCAGTAAAATATAAACAAACCAAATTCAACAGCACAATAAAGGATCATACACCACAGCCAAGTAGGATTTATCCCTGGATGCAAGGTTGATTTGACATACACAAATCAATCAATATAACATACCACACTAACAGAATGAAGGATAAAAACTACATGATTATATCCATAAATGCAGAGAAGGCATTTGACAAAATTCAAAACCATTTCATGATGAAGACTCTCAACTAATTAGGTACAGAAGTCACTTACCTCAACACAATAAAGGCCATATATGAAAAGCCCACAGTGAGCATCATTCTCAGTAAAGGATAACTGAGAGCTTTTCTTCTAAGATTTGGAAGAAAGCAAGGATGCTATGTTGGCACTTCTATTCAACATAATACTGGAAGTCCTAGCCAGATCAATTAGGAAACAAACAAACAAAAAGACATCAACTAACACAGGAACGGAAAGCCAAACAACGCATGTTCTCACTCATAAGTGGGAGCTGAACAATGAGAACACGTGGACACAGGGAGGGGAACATCACACACCGGGGCCTGTCAGCGCGTCGGGGACTAGGGGAGGGATAGCATTAGAAGAAATACCTAATGTAGACGACGGGTTGTTGGGTGCAGCAAACCACCATGGCACGTGTATACCTATGTAACAAATGTGCCCGTTCTGCACTTGTATCCCAGGACTTAAAGTACAATAATAAAAAAAGAAGATAAAAAAAGACATCCAAGTCAGAACAAAATAAAATTATTTATAATCTTATATGTAGAAACCCATAAAGACACCACAAAATAAACTGTTAGAATGAATTAACAAATTCAATAAAGTTGCAGGATATAAAATCAATGTATAAAAATCAGACATATAGACCTTATACACACACACAAACACACACACAAATATATTAGTCATAAAAAGAAGTAAATCCTGCTATTTGTGATATGGATGAACCTGGAGAACATTATACTAAGCAAAATAAGCCACACAAAGAAAGACAAAAACTGCAGGACCTCACCTATATGTGGAATCTGAAGACGTATAGCTCAGAGTTAGAGAGTAGAAAGATCCTTACCAGAGGCTGGGAAGGATAGTGGTGGGGGGAGATGGCTAATGGGTACAAAAAATCGTCAGAATGAATAAGGCCCAGGACAGGGTGATTATAGTCAATAATAATTTAATTGTACGTTGTAAAATAACTAAAAGGGTATAATTGGATTGTTTGTAACACAAAGGATAAATACTTGAGGGAACGGATACCCCATTTTCCATGATGTAATTATGATACATTGCCTGCTTGTATCAAAGCGTCTCATGTACCCCATAAATATATACATGTACTATGAACTCACAAAAATTAAAAATTAAAGATTTTTTTTTTTTTGAGACGGAGTCTCGCTCTGTCTCCCAGGCTGGAGTGCAGTGGCGCGATCTCGTCTAACTGCAAGCTCCGCCTCCCGGTTTTACGCCATTCTCCTGCCTCAGCCTCCCGAGTAGCTGGGACTACCGTGCACCACCTACGCCTGGCTAATTTTTTTTGTATTTTAGTAGAGATGGGGTTTCACCGTGTTAGCCAGGATGGTCTTGAACTCCTGACCTCATGATCGGCCTGCCTCGGCCCCCCAAAGCGCTGGGATTACAGGCGTGAGCCACCGCACCTGGCCTAAAGATTTTTTTAAAAGTATAGGTCACAGAAGCAGACTAAAAGAGTGGTTACCAGAGGTCAGGCATGGATGAATTGGGGAAGCATTGGTGAAAGGGTAAAAACTTCCAGTTATGAGCAAGTTCTGGAGAGCTAATATATAGCACGGTAACTACAGTTTGTTGTTGTTGGTGGTGGTGGTGGTGTTTTAGAGGCAAGGTCTTGCTCTGTCACCCAAGCTGGAGTGCAGTGGCAGGATCATAGTTCACTGTAGCCCCCAACTCCTGGGTTAAAGCAATTCTCCTACCTTAGCCTCCCAAGTAGCTAAGATTACAGGCACACATGGCCATGCCTAATTATTTATTAATTTCTCTAGAGATGGGGTCTCACTATGTTGCCTAGGCTGGTCTCAAACTGCTGGCCTCAAGTAATCCTCCCGCCCTAGCCTCCTAAAGTGCTAAGATTACAGGCCTGAGCCACCACACCCAGTCTATAGCCAATAATACTATGTTACATAGTCAAAATTTGCAAAGAGAATAGATCTAGTGTATTCTCACACCAAAATAACAGTAACTGTGTGAAATGATGGATATGCTAATTAGCTTGATTGTGCTGATCATTTACAAGAGATATATATTACATATATCAAAACAGCATATATAAACCTTAAATAATTTTTATTTGTTAGTTATACCTCAATAAAGATATGAAAAAACCATTTACACAACAATGCAGTATGGAAAGGATGGTCTTTTCAATAAATGGCACTGGGTCAGCTGGAGATTCCTATTTGTAGGATAAAAATATATCTTGACCTATACCTCATCTGACATAAAAACCAGTTTTAGATTGATGGTAAATCTAAATGTGAGTGGTAAAACAATACATCTTTTAGCAGAAAACATAAAAAAGAACATTGGCAAATATTACTTTTAAAGGATGCAAAAAGCAATAATTCTGAAACAAAAATTGATAAATTGGACTACATTAAAATTAAAATCTTCTGTTTCTCAAAAGCCACCATTAGTTGCATAAAAGCCAACCCACAAACTTGACACATTTAATCTTTCTATTAGGTTGGGGCAAAAGTAATTACGGTTTTTGCCATTAAAAGCAATGGCAAAAACCGCAGTCACTTTTGCCCCAACTAATACAAGCATTTGCGAAGACTCACAAAACATGTAAGGAAATACAAACCAACATAAAAAGATAACCTGATAGAAAAATAAGCAAAATACTTGAATGGGTAATTTACACAAGAAGATACATGGTAGACAGATGACAAAGAGAGATGATAGATAGACAAACAGCCATGTAAGAAAGTACTTAACCGCATTACTCAACATGAAAATACAAATTATAACCATAAACAATACCACTACACACACACCAAAATATCTTCAGATACCAACTTATAGGAGATATACCTAATGCTAAATGACGAGTTAATGGGTGCAGCACACCAGCATGGCACACGTATACATATGTAACTAACCTGCACATTGTGCACATGTACCCTAAAACTTACAAGTATAATAATAAAAAAAAAATTTGGAGCAACCAGAACCCTCATACACTGCGCGGGGAAATTAAAATGGAGACACGTGTTTGGAAAACTGTTTAGCCCTGTTGACTACACAAAAGTCTGCCCTAGGTTACAGAAATTCAAAGCCAGGTATGTATTTCCAACAGAAACGTGCATCTGCCCTTTTCAGAACACGCCCAACTGGCTACTAATGTCTATCAATGGTTAAATGCATTTATTAAATGGTACATTCACACAATACAATGTTAAACAGCAATAAATATGAGCAATAATATACAACCACATACAACAGTGTGGCTGAATCACACATATATAAGGTTGAGTGAAAGAAGCAGATACAAAAGAGAACAAACTGTATGATTTAATGTAAAGTACAAAAATGAATAAAGCTAATTTATGCTATTAGGAGTCAAGATACTGATTACCCGCGTAGGAACAGGGACTACAGAGGAAAATGAGGTGACTTCTGGAGGGCCAGTAATGTGTTTTCATCTGAGTGCTGGTTACTCATTATGACTGTTCCATTTGTAAAAGTCGCTGACAACATTTTCAGGTTTCATTTTATTTTCTAAGACACCATAAGCATGACTGTTTTAATCTGTGTCTAATAATTATATTATCTGGAGTCCCTATATGCCTCCCATCTGCTGGTTCTTGCTGTTGGAATCCTTCATCCTTGTGTGTCTTATCTTCAGATGTATGTTGGATATTGTGCTTGAAAAAGTATTAAGAGAAGTAATTTGAGCTCAAGGGGGCATTGTTCCTCCGAATAGGATTTTTTTTTCAATTGCTTTTGCTTAAAACTTGGGGTCACTAGAAGTCTAGATCATCCTAATCGAAGTTTAGTACTTCAGATTTTCCAGACCTCTGATAAGTCAAAGCCAGGCTGCAATATGTATGAGATCTGCTTTATCCCTGACTGACTCCCAGCGTGTGTTTTAGGATTGCTGCACAGTAAGGAGCTGGTTTACTTCTCGTAAACAAGACTCATTTCTCAAGGTCCTTGCCTCTAGATAATAACATTGGAGCAATTATCCATGTTCATCTCAAGAGGCTACCTTGGGATTGTATCTCCAGGGCCGCTCCAAAACTGATAAGGTCTGATACAGTCCCTGTTTAGTCCTTTCCATCGTGAATCTGGGATCCCAACATCAGTTCTCAAATCCCCCCAGGCTCATCAGGGCATAAAGAGCCTCAAATTCTGTCTCCTCTTTTGCAGGGACTGAAGATGCAGGTAACAAGTTCTCTGCTCTTTACATTTAGCAAATAGGACAAGTCAGCAAGTTCTATTCAGGAAATAATGCATTGTAGTCTCTTATGTCCTTACTGAATTTTCATCCTGTAGAGCAGGAACGTGGAGGCAGCCGAACCAGTGAACTCTGAGAGCAGCACAGAGCAGTGGGTAAGGTGCGTCCGCCTCAGGCTCATGCTCCTTCTCCCTCTTCCCTCTTATCTTCTCCTCCATTTTCTCTCATATTTGTGGGATAAAAAATATATCTTGACCTATACCTCACCTGATACAAAAATCAGTTTTAAATTGATAGTGAATCTAAATGTGAATAGTAAAACAATAAATCTTTTAGCAGAAAATATAAAAAAGGACATTGGCAAAGATTTAGCAAAGATTTCTTTTAAAGGATGCAAAAAGCAAACATACTCACATCTTCATAATCTAACTGCTAAGGGTTTAAGGTAAGATAACAATTCCTCCAATCCTTTTGGCACTCTGCAGTTTTCACGGGCTCACTGGCACCCGCCCTGCTGCCTGTGATTCTCACAACCTACAAGAATGCCCACATGGTGGCTCTGGGGGACTGACTGCCCAACTCAAAGTCCTACAGCTGGGGAGCAACAGAGGCGGCACAAAGGCCAGTGTCCCAACAGCAAGCTTGCAGCACTTTTCTGTAACACACGCACACTCGCTGTCCTCTCCCCCAGGCCGCGCTACGTAGGAGTTTGTGTCTCTACGGCCTTCACACCGCACGAGCGTTCAGAACCCGCTGACTCTTCTGGGCTGAGAGCAGTGTTTCCCAAAGCATAGGATCAGAATCACTCGGGGCTCACTAAAAAGAACTTGGTCCTCAGAACAGAACCAGCACCTCCGAGAAGGGGCGGGAAAATCAGCTTTTTGTCTTGGAGCATCGCAGGTGATCCTAGTGCTCACTGCAGCGTGGGAGATGATACCTTTAGGGCGGGCGAGCAGAGGTGTCCAGTCCTCTGGGCAGCCTTGGTTTTCTGAAGTCCCATCACCTCCCTCCTACCTTCTCTCCTGTTGGGAAGATGTCCCACCCAGAAGGCGGGAAGGAAGTAGTTTCTTCTGGGGTCTAAGAAGGTGGAAGCCGTTTCTCTCCATGGCAGAAACAGAGGTGGTGGGCGAGTGTGCTCAGGATTGGGGCCCTGCAGGGAATCACCACGGTGCTGCTTTTCATGCTCAGGTCACGTAGGGGCCTTGGGGTGATCTCAGGGATGAGCCCATCAGCTCCCTCTTTCTCATTGTAACCGCTTTTCTAAGAGGCAAGCAGAGCTTTGGTCATGGGCTCATCTCTGCCGTCAAATCGCTCTGACTTTGCGCAGATCTCTTCGGATCAAGGCTGCACGTTAAGTTCTGGAGTGTGGGAAATAAACGGGCTCGTTTGTGCTTAGAGCCGTAAGACAACTAACAGATAAGAGATGTGGGAAGCTGTAGATACAAAGAGTCTCCGGAGCATGTGCTCAGGGTTACTCCCACTTTCACTGAAATGCCAGAGGACCACTCCATCATGAATGTGTAATTTGGAACCTTATTGCTAAAAAAGGCCTTAACCAGCACTTACTTCCACTAAATGCTCCAATTGGCTCTGAAACGATCACTCAGCCCATGGCATCGTGCAGCCTGTTCTAGTCCCTTCTGTGACGGGGAGTTCACCTCCTTCCCAGTGCCCTTCGCTGGCCCAGTACTTAAGTCTTCTGGGTGACAGCCTGGCTCCTATTTTTCTCTCTCTCTCTCTTTGCCCCCTGGTTTCTGACCGAGGCAGTGCTTATCCCTTTGTATGGGAAGCCCATCATAACATGTCCCCCATCTGTCTCCCATGTAGCTGCACCAAGTGTCCGGACACGATTACGTCCCAACCCTGACATCCTGGACCACTCCCTGCAGACCCCAGGGTGGACTGAGGGATCCCAGGGTGCCTGAGTAGGGGGCAGAACCAGGTCCAGGATGGAGAACAGTTTCCTGCTGGAGTGGGCTGGGAGACAGAAGCTGGAGGAAATGGTTAAACAGGACTCCCTTTGCCATCCCCATAACAGCACCTCCCATTTAAAATCAGCTTTCAAGCTAGAGAACTCCTTCCACATTCAGGATTTCAGCTCTTAACGTTGCATAAAGTAGACATTATTGCTGTCCTTTAACACGCGGTCGAGTAGTTGGGGCATCAGCTTTGAGTCAGTAAAGAGGGTTAAATACTGACCCCATTCTTTTACAAGCTGAGTAACTGTAAAAAGATTATTGCTCTTCTAATTCTTGGTGGAATCATCTCTCATAGAGCCAAATAGTTCCGCGTGTGGGATAAATAAAAGACCTTAATATAGATAAGGCACGTAAGCACATTCTCTGTCCAAGTGCTCAGAAATGAGGAGTTATTTGCCGGGGGTGGGTGGAGTGGGGGGAAACGTTGTATGCGTTAATCTAGGATTTGAATCCACACTTCTGCCTCAAACTTTCCTTTCAGTATACCACTGACCCTAGATATCAGGGAAATCAAATCTGTAAATTGAGATTTAAAAGTCCATTCATGGCTGGGCACAGTGGCTGACACCTGTAATCCCAGCACTGTGGGAGGCTGAGGTGGGAGGATCACGTGAGGCCTGGAGTTCGAGACCAACCTGACCAACATGTTGAAACCCTGTTTCTACTAAAAATACAAAAATTAGCTGGACATGGTAGTGGGCGCCTGTAGTCCCAGCTAGTCAGCAGGCTGAGGCAGGAGAATTGTTTGAATCTGGGAGGCAGAGGTTGCAGTGAGCCGAGATCACGCCACTGCACTACAGCCTGGGTGACAGAGCGAGACTCTGTCAAAAAAATAAAATAAAATAAAATTAAAATTAAAAAAACACATTCATTTGCTAAATGCTTGCCTGCCCCATCCTACCTCCACTAAAGCTTGTAGCTCCAACTTACTTTAACCTTCTACATTGCTCACAGTCCCCACATCAACATTTTCTTACCCAGCTGCTACTTCAAATTTATCCTGTTCAAGACTGAATTTGCAGAACGTGCTCCACATTGCCCTGGCATCAGCTAGTTCCCTAAGCAACCACATTTTCATCGATACATAGGCGCCAGGTCTCATGACTCTTGTCCATTCATTTATGTCAAATGCATGAAATGTCTACTATTCTATACAGTTTAGTTCAACCTTGTTTTACTGATCTCTACATTATGCCTGGCATTGTGCAAGATCCTGAGGATGCAGGAATTCAGAGTAATGTCCCTACCCTTGAGACTCTCTCAGTCTTGCAGAGAATGGATAGTTAAGCAAAATGTGCAAAGGGTCAATCCGAAAAAGAATACAAAGGCCCAAAACAGTGCAGAAACTGGAGTGGTTACCTCTGGGGTGGGAGATGTCAGGAGGAGGAGACGCTTAAGCAGGTGCTAGAGCAGGTCTTACCAGGCTGACAATTGAAGGAAAAAAATTCAGTCTGGAAAAGCAGAATGAAGAAAGCATATTTGGTGAAAAGGAACAATCAGTATGAAGGACAGAGACAAAATATTTTGTGTATTCTAGAACCATACAAACTGCAAAGGCACTGCTAGAGTAGAGAGTGAAGGTCAGGCAAGCAGGAGAGTCCACTGGGGCTGAAGCATCCTGGGCCTTGACCGCCTGGCCATAAACTTGAGCTATTGTGGGGGAAATGGGGAGCCTCAGCTACCGTAGGGAAAATACACGATAAATTTGTCCGGAAGCATGCTTCATGCTCAGGCAGAGGTGAGCACTCTACCTCGGCTTTCCTGGTATGTTCCTGTGGTTGTTCTTGGAGCAAAAGCTCACGATGGGAGTCTCCAAAGGCTGCTCTGTCCGTCCAAGTGGGAACTGCAAGTTAGTCCTGCCTCCTATCCACCATTTTTCCTACACTCCCCGAGTCCCTTAAGTTTTGGAAAGTTGTATCTTCACTTTCATTTATCTTTTGTTTCTGTTGCTTCTTTGATTCATTGGTTATTTTGGAGGATGGTGTTTGATTACCAAAAATATGTGAGTTTTCTCCATTTTTTCTTCTTTCCATCGCAAATTTCATTCCTTTGTAATTGAAGTACACACTTTGTGTTATTTCCATCTGTTGAATATCATTGAGGTTTGTTTTATGCCCTTGCATATGGTCTGTCTGGGGGAATATTCCAAGGATGGCTGAAAAGAATCTTGTTCTATTTTGAGGTGCAGTTTTCTATAGATATCTGTTAGGGATACTCCATTTGACATCTCTGTGTAACATTTTGGTAATTCTCACAACATTTCAAACTTTGTCATCATGATTACATCTGTTATGCTCATCTGTGGCCAGTGATCTTTGACGTAACCATTGCCATTATTTGGGGGTGCCATGGACCACACCCACATAAGAAGTAGGACGGAATCGGTAAATGTCTTGTGTGTTCTGACTGCTGATCAGCGATTCCTCCATCTCTGATCAGCCATTCCTCCGTCTCTCTCCCTTTCCTCAGACCTCCTTATTCTCAGACATATCAGTATTGAAATTAGGCCAGTTAGTAACTCTACAAAGGCCTCTAGGTGTACAAGTGAAAGGAGAGTCACATGCCTCTCACTTTAAATCAAAAGCCAGAAATGATTAAGCTGGTTGAAAAAGACAATCGAAAGCAGAGATAGGCCAACAGCTAGACCTCTTGTACAAAACAGTTAGCCAAATTGTCAATGCAAAGGAAAAGTTCTTGAAGGAAATTAAAAAGTGCTACTCTACTGCACACACAAATGACAAGAGAGTGAAACAGACTTCTAGCTGATATGGAGAAAGTTTTAGTGGTCTGGATAGAAGCTCAAACCCGCAATAACATTCCCTTAGGCCAAGGTCTAATACAGAGCAAGTTCCTAATTCTCTTCAGTTCTGCAGAGGCTGAGACAACTAAGAAAGCTGCAGAAGAAAATGTGAAGCTAGAAAAAGTTGGCTCCTAAGGTTAAAGGAAAGCAGCCCTCTCCATAACATAAAAGTGCAAGGTGAAGCAGAAAGTGATGATGTAGAAGCTGCAACGAGTTATCCAGAAGATCTAGATGAGATAACTGACGATGGTGAGTACATTAAACAACAGATTTTCAATGTAAACAAATCTGCTTTCTCCTGGAAAAAGATGTCATCTAGGACTTTCATAGCTAGAGAAGAGAAGTCAATGCCTGGCTTCAAAGTTTCAAAGACAGGCTGATTCTCTTGTTATGAGCGAATACAGCTGGTGACTAAGTTGAAGCCAGTACTCACTAACCATTTCAAAACTCTTAGGGCCCTTAAGAATTAGGCTAAATCTATTCTGCTTGTGCTCTATAAATGCAACAACAAAGCCTGAATGACAGCACATCTGTTTATAACATGGTTTACTGAGTATCTTAAGCCACTGTTGAGATCTACTACTCAGAAAATAATATTCCTTTCAAAGTATTATGTTCATGGTCACCCAAGCACTCTGATGACAATGTGCAAGAAGGTTGATGCTGTTTTCATGTCTCTAGCACAATATCCATTCTGCAGCCCAGGGATCAAGGAGTAATTTTTACTTTCAAGACTTATGATTATATAAGAAACACATTTTGTAAGGCTACAGATGCCATAGATAGTGATTCCTCTGATGGATCTGGGCAAAGTAAGGGAAAGCTTGGAAAGGATTCACCATTGTAGATGCCATTAAGAAATTCATGATTCATGGGAGGAGGTCAAAATATCAACATTAATAGGAGTTGGGAAAAGTTGATTCCAATGCTCATGGATGAATTTGAGGAGTTCGAGACTTCGCTGGGAGGAAGAGTTCCGTAACTGCAGGTGTGATGGAAAGAGCAGAGAACAGAATTAGAAGTGGAGCCTGAAGATGTGACTGAAGAGCTACAATCTCGTAATAAAACTTGGACCGATGAGTAGTTGCTTCTTACGGATGAGCAAAGAAAGCAGTTTCTCGAGATGAACACCACTGCTGGTGAAGATGCTGTGAACACGGTTGAAATGACAACAAAGAATACAGCATAGACATGAACTTATTTGATAAGGCAGTGGCAGAGTTTGAGAGGATGGCCTCCAATTTTGAAAGAAGTTCTACTGTAGGTAAAATGTTGTCAGGCAGCATCGCATGCTACAGAGAAATGTTTCCTAAAGGGAAGAGTCAACTGATATGGCCAACTTTATCGTTCTTGTTTGAAGAAATTGCCAAAGCCACCCCAAACTTCAGCAACCACCACACTGGTAAGTCAGCAGCCGTCAGCATCAAGGTGAGATCTTCCACCAGCAAAAGGATTATAACTTGCTGAAGGGTCAGGTGATTGCTATCATTTCTCAGCAATAAGGTATTTTTAATTAAGGAATGTACATTTTTAGACATAATGCTCCTGCACACTTAATAGCCTACAGTATAGTGTCAACGTAACACGTATACACTGGGAAGCCACAACACTGTGTGATGCGCTTTATTGCAATATTTGCTCTATTGAGGTGATCTGGAATCAAACTCACAATATCTCCAAGGTACGCCTGTAGCTGGGTTGTTTTTTTTTAAATATTAAGATTTAAAAACTATCATGCAGCTCACACCTGTAATCCCAGCACTTCGGGAGGCCAAAGCAGGTGGAGCACTTGAGGTCAGGAGTTCAAGACCAGCCTGGCCAACATGGTGAAACCCCTTCTCCACTAAAAGTACAAAAATTAGCTGGGCATGGTCGTGGGCGCCTATAGTCCCACCTACTCGGGAGGCTGAGGCTGGAGAATCACTTAAAGCCGGGAGGCAGAGGTTGCAATGAGCCGAGATTGTGCCACTGCAGTCCGGCCTGGGTGACAGCAAGAGACTCCATCTCGGAAAAAAACAACTATCATGCAGGCTGAAAAATAAGGTCCCTGAACAACAACAACAACAAAAATAGCTAATGACAATATTGACTTGGAGGAAGTTCCCCATCACATTGCTGAGTGAATAAAGATGACTGAATGAATCAAACGGAAAGTATCTTCACCAAAGTGTAAACAGTGGCTGCTCTGACAGAATTTGGGGCGACTTTTACTTATTGTATAAATTTTTTGGTATTGCTTTAATTGTTCACGTTGGAAATTTTTTGTCTATAATCAATAGATTACAATATAGTTTTTTAGAGCCATTTTTTTGAGACAGGGTCTTGCTCTGTTGCCCAGGCTGGAGGGCAGTGGCACAATCGTGGCTCACTGCAGCCTCGGCCTCCCAGGCTCAGGTGATCCTACCACCTCAGCCTCCCAAGTAGCTGGGACTACAGGCATCTGCAGCCACACCCAGTTAATTTTGTATTTTTAGTAGAGATGGGGTTTTGCCATGTTGCCCAGGCTGGGTCTGGAACTCCTGGGCCCTAATGATATGCATACCTCTGCCTCCCAAAGTGCTGGGATTACAGGCATGAGTCACTGCACCCTGCTGAAGCTATTTTTATTTAGAAAAAGAATTCCAAGGCCAGGCTCAGTGGCTCATGACTATAATCAAACCACTTTGGGAAGACAAGGCAGAAGGATTGCTGGAGGCCAGGAGTTGGAGACCAGCCTGGACAACATAGCGAGACCCTGTTTCTACAGAAAAAAATTAAATCAGCCAGCCATGGTGACACACGCCTGTGGTCTTAGCTACTCGGGAGGCTGAGGTGGGAGGATGGCTTGAGCTCAGGAGTTCAAGGCTACAGTGAGCTGTGATGACACTGCTGTACTCCAGGCTGGGCAACAGAGTGAGACCCAATCTCTAAATAAATAAATGTATACAAAAAGAATTCGACAAAATATTTTTAAAATTTCTCTTGTAAGCCATTAAAGAAATTGCAGGAAATTTTAAATGTTAGACTTGACAATAAGTGAATACAAGTTTAGTATGGACTCTGATGCAAGCCAAATTGTACTAAAAAGGCAGATACCAAAAAAGACCGTAGACAAACTTCACGAATAATTGTGACTACAAAAGTCTAAATAAAATATTAGCAAATTGATTCAGTGGTTCATAATGGGCATACAAGTATGCTTCCATATTAAGAAGGCTATTCACATAATGTATCTTGAGTGACACTGAAAAAGTGTTTTATTAAAAATGCAACAGCCATACCTGATTTTTTAAATACTGTTGATAAACTATGAAGAAAAACAATAGTTGCTAAATATGCACAGCCACTTCTGCTTTACAGTTCATTACTGGCCATTGCACAACATCCTGTCTCACCAATATCCTCTTTGCTCCCAGACATGCTGGCCTATATTTACTTCCTTAAACACAAGAACGACCTTTCCCTGCTCAGGGGCTCTGCTCAGGGTGGCTGTTTTTCTGCAAAGCTCTTTGCCTATTGTGTTACAAGACTGGCTTTTTGTGGTCCTTCATGTCTCGGCTAAAAAGACATTAGCCATGGTTATCTAACTCTACATGCTGGAATTTGATACAATTTTTATTATCTCCTTTATAACTTTTCAGATTTTTAATGTTTTATTCCATATACATTCAGTTTTCAAAAGGAAAAAATAATTTTTTAATCTTTAGTATATTTTGATAAAATATACTAGTATGTTTGGTATGTTTTAGTATGTTTGATAAAATACAAAACATTGATGTAACTTTTCCCAAAAAATAAGTAGACAGTTGTCCTAATGTCATTTATTGCATAATGCAACCTTTCCCTGGTGAATTAAAGTGTCACATTCCACATGAACTTGGCTGTTTCTTAAGTTTCTAGACAGTTCTACTGATCTGTTCATTCTAGCACCAGTACCCCCACTATTTTAAAGTTCTTAATAGAGCAAGTGTCTCCTTGTCTTCAACATTTTCCTAGCTTATTTTCATTCCTATTTTATAGGAAATTTAAACTAGCTCTTGTTTCTTTAAAACCCTGTTACAATTTTGACTTTCAAATAGGTTAAATTTTAGAACAACTCAGAATATGCACCTTTGCAACATCTCATCTTTTTTATCTAGAATCTTGGTTATATCTGTCCATTTAATAAATTTTTACTTTATGCCTCAATAGAGAATTTGAAGACCATACCTGATTCTTATTAATATCTTAATGCATAGATTGTTTGCTGATAATGTGTTTCATATTTTAATCTTAGTATTCTTATCATTCATATATAATAACAGGTACTATTTATTGAGTGCTCTCCACATGTCAGCTCTTTGTGTTAAGTACTTTATTCCTTAATTTTCTCCTCACCCCAACCCATTTTTCACATTTAAAAAACCTGAGTCTTAAAGAACACAAGTGACCTGCCTGAGGCATTACAGCCAAGAAGAGGCAGTGCTTTGACTTGAATTTAAGAGTTCGGGATCAATAGATGCCCAAACGTCAGCATCTCTCAATATATCCTTGTAACAAATCTGCACATGCACCCCCAAATCTAAAATTAAAATTAAAAAAAAAAAAAAAAAGAGTTCCCACAGGACGGTCTTTAGCACTGCACTACGTGGCTTACGGGGACCATGAAAGCTGAGAGCCTGTTCATTTTGTCATGGGTCACTTCACTGACTAATCACAGACATCTTTTTTTTCTAATGATGTTTCCACTCATTTTCTTAGATTTCCCAGAGAGATCATTATATCAACAAGTAATAATAATTCTTCTTTCTCCTTTCCAATATTTTATTTCTCCACTTCCTCCAATTGGACAATAATCTTTTCTTGTAATGCATATACCTGTATTAAATACCACTTAAAACCCTGTATAAAATCATAACATAACACACTAAACTTTAAACACTTCAAGACTATTGGAAGATGGCAGGATTAAAAATAAGGCTTAGACATTGTTTTTATAATATTCATTATGTCAGGTGAGAAGTTGCTGGAATAAATAAGTTGCATACTTTCCATATTCTATTTTTGTGCCTATAATGACCTGTTGCTTTTATTATTTTTAAAGTTTAGTCCAAGATATTTTAATTCTAAGAAAAGAGTTGATTTTGCTTATCTTCGTGTCCTTATTCAAATGAGGGCACTTAATAAACATTTGTTGGTGTTAATGTTACAGAAAGTTGGGGGAATGGATGGAGATAACCAGAGTGAGAACTCACAGTTCCTTCTCCTGGGGATCTCAGAGAGTCCTGAGCAGCAGCAGATCCTGTTTTGGATGTTCCTGTCCATGTACCTGGTCACGGTGCTGGGAAATGTGCTCATCATCCTGGCCATCAGCTCTGATTCCCACCTGCACACCCCCATGTACTTCTTCCTGGCCAACCTCTCCTTCACTGACCTCTTCTTTGTCACCAACACAATCCCCAAGATGCTGGTGAACTTCCAGTCCCAGAACAAAGCCATCTCCTATGCAGGGTGTCTGACACAGCTCTACTTCCTGGTCTCCTTGGTGACCCTGGACAACCTCATCCTGGCCGTGATGGCGTATGATCGCTATGTGGCCATCTGCTGCCCCCTCCACTATGTCACAGCCATGAGCCCTGGGCTCTGTGTCTTGCTCCTCTCCTTGTGTTGGGGGCTGTCTGTTCTCTATGGCCTCCTCCTCACCTTCCTCCTGACCAGGGTGACCTTCTGTGGGCCTTGAGAGATCCACTACCTCTTCTGTGACATGTACATCCTGCTGTGGCTGGCATGTTCCAACACCCACATCATTCACACAGTGTTGATTGCCACTGGCTGCTTCATCTTCCTCACCCCCTTAGGGTTCATGACCACATCCTATGTACGTATTGTCAGAACCATCCTTCAAATGCCCTCAGCCTCTAAGAAATACAAAACCTTCTCTACCTGTGCCTCCCATTTGGGTGTGGTCTCCCTCTTTTATGGGATGCTTGCTATGGTGTACCTGCAGCCCCTCCATACCTACTCCATGAAGGACTCAGTAGCCACAGTGATGTATGCTGTGCTGACACCTATGATGAACCCTTTCATCTACAGGCTGAGGAACAAAGACATGCATGGGGCTCCGGGAAGAGTCCTATGGAGACCCTTTCAGAGGCCTAAATGAAGGTAATTTTGGAAAGGGGATTGAAGTGGAGACCGGAAATATCCTTCTCCACACATAAGGCATTATGCTTTGGGATATGCAACAGTCAGAGTACAGCTCCAGATCAGGATGAGCATATCTACCTGTGGTGAAGAAAAGACACAATGTGTATCCCAGTGCCTCCCAGACCTCACCAGCCTTGGCAATAAATAATGTCATGCTAACACTACTACCAGGATTTTACAGGGTCAAATATTTAAACCTGCTTGATCATAGGCCCACAGTCCTAGGCTTATCTATATATACACAGTCATAGCTTAGGGAGGGCTCTCATGTTTTCTAGCACCCATTCACTTATGACCCAGAGGTTTGGCTTCTCTAAGGAGCCTGCTATCTTCAAGCTCTTTAGAGAAGACACTTTGCACTACCCCTACCACAGATGCCCTGGGTGAGGCTTCCCCTTTCTTGATGTTCTAACAGGTACAACACGCACCACTTCAATGTTGACATATAGTCACTCTGGACACAGCTCATATGGTTCATGCAGAAATGCCAACAAGATTCCTCTTGTGCTCTGGGTTGATTTTATCTTTGGGGCCTCAAAGCAACACTCTCTTGCCTTTTCCCTGCATTCCTTTTCTCTGTAGGAAGTCAGACCTTGCCCTTGGAAAGACCATCCTATCTTTTATTTCTGTAGTTCCTCACCTTCCTTCTCTTTATGCAAGAATTCCATCCACCCCTGAAAACAAAACTCTCAAACATAAATGCATATTCATAAATAGCAGTGGTAGTATGGCCAGTAGAAGGGGAGGATTCTGGAACAAATGAACAATTTAGTGATCCCAGAGAACATAGAGGAAAGGAGATATTTTAATAAATAAATTGGGAATCGAACTCAATAAAATATAAAACAAAAATACAATGAAGAGGATTTTAAAAGCCAAAGATAGGTTCTTTTAAAATAAAATGAAGTGAACAAACCCCTGGAACATTGAGCAAAGAAAGAAAAGACATGAGTAAAGACTACAGTGGGAAGAATGGTGGTAAAAACTAAAGATAACATCAAGATTAGGGTGATGAAGAGGGAATATCATCAACATCTACATGCCAATAATTTTGAACATTTTGACAAAATAAATAAATCCTTGAAAAAAATGTGACTTTTCAAAGCTGACTCAAGAAGAAATGGAAAAATTAAATAGTCCTATAACTAGAATTTAAGCAATCATTTTAAATATTCATATATATATGAATATGTACACATCACAAATATAAATCCATTGATAAGCAACTTTTACGAAGTTACGAATCATCCAGTTTTTTTTAAAAAAAATTTGCAGAGAATAGAAAAAGAAATAAAACTTCCCAAATAGTTTTATGTCATAATTATCACCTGATATCAAAGCAGAAAAAGAGGACAAGAAAAAGTGCAAGAGCTAATTTCACTTAAAAATATAAATACAGGTATCCCAAAGAAAATACTAGTAAATTGAATCCAACAGAGAATTTAAAAATAATAATACTGCATAAGTACCCATTAGGATATTTCAAAGGTATATAAAGATAATTTGATACTTTTTAATCCATAAGTGTTTATTATATTGACAAATAAAAAGAAAAAATCAACATGTCAATAGATGCAGAGACAGACAAAATTCTTAACAAATGTTGTCCTTGATAAAGCAATAAATTTTTATTAAATCACATCTTTTCATGTATGTCTTTTTAATATTTTGTATAATATAATGGCTAGTACCAGAGAGCACTTCTGCATCTCAGAGTACAATGATTGTCTTGTGAGGAAGTACTTGAATGATTGAATTTGGGCTCAACCAGCCATTTCATGGAACATTATTTTTATTTGTTAGAATTACTGATAAACTATAGTTATTCAGAATTGGTATTTGGCAGGCGTTGCCACAAAATAAATGAAGTGAGCCTGTCGCTGTAAGAAAAACTGACAGTATTTGTTGCCAGTAATAAATATTTGGTCTATCAAGCAATCTCACCCCTTTGGAAAATTCGTCCATCATGGTGATGGATATATATTTCATATATATATGAAATGTGTCAACACTGGAAGATCTGTATAACTCAGTGAGCCAGTATTTTTCAAATGACCAATGCATTATGTGAAAAAGTTACACATAAATAAAAGATTAACTTAAAATGCAAAAGAAGCCAATGGATTTTAATGACATAGGGGATAAAATGTCTATTCATGTGTTATCAGATTCTGCATTGCTACTAACCTTTAAGAAACTACCACTTATCATGTTTTGATGTAGTATCAAATAATATTAATTGAAAAGGTTATTAACATAATCCTCCCTTTTGCAATTACACATCTGTATAAGGCTGGATTTTCTTCATACATGTCAACCAAAATAACATATCACTACAAATAAATGCAGAAGCTGATACAGGAATCTAGCTCCCTTGTGTTAAGCCAGACATTAAAAAGATTGGAAAAAAAGTAAAACCATGCTATTCTTCAATAAATTTTTTTAAAAAATATAGTTATTTCTATTTAAAATCCTACTATAAAAACATGTCATGGTAATATTATTGTTTTATGAGGGAATTAGTAAATAAATATTTTAAATGTCTTTCTAATATGAGAATATCAGTAGATAAAACCCATATAAACACAGCTCATGGCTCTTTTGGTCCCAAAAATTTTAAGCAGGTAAATGCATCCTGAAACCAAAAGTTTGAGAACTGTTCTCCTAAAGTACAAACATACTTGAAAATTGTTCTCAAATTCGGAAATCAATTCCTTTGAAAAGGAGAACAAAATGAGGGAAAGGAATAGGGATAATGCTTTAGTGTTAACTATAATATTTTAAATCTTTTTTACAGAAAGAAGTGACATGATCAGGTAACAAATTAATATTTTTAATTTTGTGGATGGTATATATGTGTCTAAAATTATTTTATTTTATTATATGCTTGAAATATGCCGCTAAAGAAAATGTAACACTTATTTTTAACCCTAAAATATTTATTAAGTAGTATTAAATTCCTTTGTTATTTTCAAACTCATATTTTTAATGGTTCTTTAACAAATTAGTTATTTAAAACATATAGCCTTATATGTGCTGGCAATGCCAACAGATAACACATAAATTCCAGCAGATAAGGTTACAAATAGAACACACTTTCAAATTACCTTCCTCTTTTCGTGATCAAAGACTATAAAACGTCATATACTTACTGACCATTCCTTCTCAATATTGATAATAGAATCAGAAATAGTCTCTTGTTTTATTTTCATAAATACTTTAGGAAGACATTGAGGCTTTAACATTTTTAATTTGGATGATGTTTACATTGTACAAGTATATGACATAAAATCATTTTCAGGTAGAGTTTAAGTAACTTGAAATCAAAGCTGAGCTGAAAGGGAAGTGACTCTGTTTCACCCACACTATCTAAAGGCTGATATTGTTCCCGTTTCCTAGCTGAACTGTTTGCTCTTTCATAGAAAATGGAACTATGCAGAAATTGTATTTAAAAATGTATATTGCAAATTTATAAAGGGAGGATAGGACAGAAGACCACTATGGGAAGAAAAAACTGTAACAGAGAATCAGAATGCAAAAACCCAGAAAAAAAACTCAGTACTTAAAAATTATAATACATCTTTTACCACAGTAATTATATAAACTAAAATTAGAATCTAATTTTTGCCTAATTATACCTTATAAGACACAAGTATAATTGAATTTATGCCATGGTTAAGTGCTATTCTACCTTACACTACATCATCTACACTATTGCGAAGCACTTACTCCCAATTTTAACTGTATGTGAAAGGAATAAAAGTCTTCAGCCATCTAGGCATGCAATCTTTCTCAATTGAGTGAGTTAAATGGTACCTGGAAAAGGGTTTGATACGGTGTCAAAATATGAGATATAAAAAGATAGCTTATATCTGTGAGGTTTTTATTATGCCACTGAATTAATAAAGACTTTAAAGAATGAATCAGACTTTAAAACTCATCTATTCATGGATCTGTAGAGACAAAAGTCATGGTTATTTCTAACCAAAATTAGCTGAAGCATTATTTCTATTACTTTTCTATTATGCTCACTGGTGTCAAGAAAGGAAGGAAATCATATTTCTGACATCTGCCAGATTACAGGACTTTCAAATGTTTCTCATTGAGTCCTTTAAACAATCTTATGAACAAGGTTTTGTTATTTTTATTTTACAAATGAGGAAACAGATACATAAGCAATTTTCCTAAGTAAATCACAGGGCAGTTATTCAAATTCATTTAGTTTAAGAAAATGTTATGGCAAAAATGCTGAGAAAGTGTGACGGAAAGAAAATTATAAGATTTTTATGTAATTTTTTCAAAATCTGTGAGTCATTTTCAGAATATAAACCACACTGCCTAAATCAGGGTCAATAGTTGATTTACTCTTCATAATGTATACATCTGACAAAGGACTAATATCCAGAATTTACAACAAACTCAAACAAATCAATAAGAATAAAACAAACAATCCCATCAAAAAGTGGGCTAAGGACATGAATAGACAATTCTAAGAAGATAAACTAATTGTCATCAAACATTTGAAAAAATGCTCAACTTCACTAATGATCAGGGAGATGCAAATCAAAACCACAATGTGACACCACTGTACTCCTGCAAAAAGCAGCCATAATCAAAAAATTATCATACTCCTGCAAGAATGTCCATAATCAAAAAATAGAAAAACAGGAGATGTTGGCATGGATGCAGTGATCAGGGAACACTTCTACACTGCTGGTGGGATTGTAAGCTAGTACAGCCACCATGGAAAACAGTGTGGAGTTTCCTTAAAGAACTAAAAATAGAACTACCATTTGATCCAGCAATCCACTACTGGGTATCTATCCAGAGGAAAAGAAGTCATTATTTGAAAAATGTACTTGCACACTCATGTTTATAGCAACACAATTCACAAATGCAAAATCGTGGAACCAACCCAAATGCCCATTGATCAACGAATGGGTAAAGAAACTATGGCATATATATAATGGAATACTACTCAGCCATAAAAAGGAATGAATTAATAGCATTTGCAATGACCTGGATGAGACTGGAGACTATTATTCTAAGTGAAGTAACTCAAGAATGGAAAACCAAAGATCATGTGTTCTCAATGATATGTGGGAGCTAAGCTATGAGGACACAAAGCCATAAAAATGATATAATGGATTTTGGAGACTTGGGGAGAAGACTGGGAGGGGGGCGAGGGATAAAAGACAACAAATATGATGCAGTGTATACTGCTTGGATGATGGGTGCACAAGGATCTCATAAATCTCCACTAAAGAACTTACTCATGTAACCAAATACACCTGTACCCCAACGACAACGACTTATGGAAAATAAAATAATAAAATAGTTGATTTACAAAGCAAAAAAAAAGAAAAAAAAAAGAAATTATTCATAGTTACTTTTTTAGTTTTTAAAGGATCTGAAGCTTTGGTTTGCCATTGGGTTTGAAACTGGATGAATGATTAGATGTGGAAAACACATTTGTCTTAGTCAATTAGGGATGTTATAACAAATACCATACACTGGGTGGCTTAAACAACAGATTGATTTTCTCACACTTGTGGAAGCTAGGAGTCACTATCAGGATGCCAGCATGGTTGGGTTCTGGTAAGACTTCTTCCTAGCTTGTAGGCAGCCACCATCTTGCTGTGTGCTCACATGACCTCTTCTTTGTGTATGCAACGAGAGAAAGGAAAAGCACTGGTCTCCTCCTCTTCTTATAAGAGCACTAATCCCATTATGGGGCTCACCATCATGAGCTCCTCTAAACCCAGTTACCTCCCAAAGGTACTATCACATGGGGCAGTAGAGCTTCGACATATGGATTTGGCAGGGACACAAACATTCAGTCCATAACAATACTTCTTTCCCCTCTAAACACATAGAAAATCTGAATCATATATTTTTTATTAAAAATTGGTCAAGAAGAGAATGACATAAGCAAGATGGCAGAATAGGAGTTCTCCACTTTCACTCCCCCACACAGAAATCCAACTAGAAGCACCCACAATCAAGAATACCATCCTAACACAAGGACACCGGGAGAGGAATGACACACACTGGGTCCTGTTGGGGGAGTGGGGGCGGTGGAGGGAGAGAATCGGGATAAAGAGCTAATGCATGCAGGGCTTAGTACCTCAGTGATGGGTTGACAGGTGCAGCAAAACACCATGGCACATGTTTACCTACGTAACAAATCTGCACATCCTGCACATGTATCCTGGAACTTCAAATTTTTAGAAAAACATCTTGAACATTCCAGGAATTGGGACTGAGGCTGAGACACCACCCTGGGCCACACAACTGAGAAGAGCCATCATCAAAGAGTAACAGAAATTGTTCCCTGACCATTTCACCCGCCCCAAAGTCAGCACCACACCACACAGAGAATGTTCTAGACCCACAGTTTCTACAATAAGAAAAGTGAATTGGAAGCGGATACTCAGTTTCCCCTTCATTCTGGGATCCTTTGCAGGAGGAGGCAAGCTCATGCTTGTCTCATCCCAGGGGACACAGAGAGAGCGCAGGCAGAGTGAGACCACCTGGGGTCAGTTAGAAACAAAGAATGAAGGTAGGACTTAAAGTAGCCAGCACACAGATCTTGGGAATTGCTCTGTATTCTGGCCAATAGAGGTGCCACACCAGAAGAAACTAGTCGACAACATCGTGCTGTAGGAAACATTGTCCATAGGCCTTTCAGGCTCAAATCCTGAGCCACCTTTCCCACACAACCCAGTTGCTTTCATTAGTCTTCCCCAGGTTGAGAGGCAACTGCATGTCAGCAATTACCTGTAAAATGACCATCTGGACTTGCCCAACTTTACTTCCTGGGATGCAAGGCTGGTTCAACATACACAAATCAATCAATGTGATTTATCACATAAACAGAATTAAAAGCAAAAACCATATGATCATCTCAATAGAAACAGAAACAGGTTTTGGTAAAATCCAGCATCCCTTCATGATAAAACTCCTCAACAGAGTAGGCATCCAAGGAACATACCTCAAAATAATAAGAGCCATCTATGACAAACCCACAGCCAACATCATACTGAATGGACAAAAGCTGGAGCCATTCCCCTTGAGACCTGGAACAAAACAAGGATGCCCACTGTCACCACCCTATTCAACATAGTACTGGAAGGCCTAGCCACAGCGATCAGGCAAGAGAAATAAAAGGCCTCCAAATAAGAAAAGAATAGGTCAAACTATTGAAAAGTGGGACCTAATTACCTAAAGATCATCTACACAGCAAAAGAAACTATCGAAAGAGTAAACAGACAACCTGCAGAACGGGAGAAAATATTTGCAAACTGTGCATCTGACAAAGGTCTAATATCCAGTATTTGTAAGGAACTTAAATAAACAAGCAAAAAATAACCACATTTAAAAAATGGGCAAAGGAAAAGACACTTCTCAAGGGAAGGGACAGGATTGGACAACAAACATATGAAAAAAAATGCTCATCACTAATCATCAGAGAAATGCAAATCAAAACCACAGTGAGACACCATCTCACACCAGTCAGAATGGCTATTAATAAAAAGTCCAAAAAAAGCAGATGCTGGCAAGGCTGTGGAGAAAAGGGAGGGAACGCTTATATGCTGATGGTGGGAATGTAAATTAGTTCAGCAACTGTGAAGAGCAGTTTGGAGATTTCTCAAAGAACTTACAACAGAACTACCATTTGACTCAGCATTTCCATTACCGGGTATATAAATCATTCTACCATAAGGACATATATATGCATATGTCCATCACAATGCGATTCACAACAGCAAAGACACGGATTCAACTTTGGTGCCCATCAGTCGTTGACTGGATAAAGAAAATGCTTATATATACCATGGAATATTATGCAGTCATAAAAAAGAAGGAAGTCACATCCTTTCCAACAACATGGATGGAGCTGAAGGCCAAAATCCTAAGCAAACTAACTCAGGAACAGAAAACCAAATACCACATGTTTTCACTTATAAGTGGGAGCTAAACATTGAAGACACATGGACACAAACAGGAGAACAACAGAAACTGCAGACTAATGGTGAGGGAGGAGGGGAGGGAGGCATGGGTTGAAAAACTACCTGTTTGGTACTATGCTCTCTGGCTGGGTGCAATATACACATGCAACAAACCTGCATATGTACCCTCAATATTGAAAATTTTTTAAAATAAAATTTTTAATAAACAAAAACAAACCATTCCATATAAAACCACAAAAGACCCCAATAGCCAAAAATAAACTTCAGCCAAAAGAACAAAGCTGAAGGCATCACACTCTCTGATTTCAAAACATATTAACATATTATAAAACAATTTTAATCAAAATACTATGGTACTGGCATAAAAACAGAAACATCTATACATGAATAGTGAACTATCTGAAAAAAAAATGGAGAAACCATACCATTTACAATAGCTACCAAAACCAAAGATCCCTTGGAGTACATTTAACCAAAGAGATGAAAGATCTCTAAAATAAAAACTATAAAACATTGAAGAAAAAATTGAAAAGAGAATAGTAAATGAGAAAATATTCCCTGTTCATGGATTGAAAGAATTACCATTACTAAAATGTCCATGTTACTCAAAGCAATCTACAAAGGCATAAAAATCCATATCAAAATAGCAATGATGTTCTTTATAGATATATGAACTGATGTTTCTTTAGATGACATACAAATGGCCAATAGGTACATGAAAATATGCTCAGCATCACTAATCATTAGAAAAATGTACATCAAAATCACCATGAGGTATCATTTCATGCTTGTTAGAACAGCCTTCACCATAAAGATGAATGACGAGTATCGGAGGATGTGGAGAAAAGGTAACTTTTAAGCATTGTTGGTGGGAATGTAAATTAGTATAACAATTATGGAAGATGGTATGGAGGTTCTTTAAAAACTAAAAATCGAACCACTGCTGGGCACAGTTGCTCGTGCCTGTAATCCCAACACTTTAGGAGGATGAGGCACGAGGATCACTTACAGCCAGGAGTTTGACACCAGCCTGGGCAACATGGTGATACCCCATCTCTACAAACACAAAATTTAAAAAGCTAGCTGGGCATGGTGGCACACACCTGTAGTCCTAGCTCCTGGGGAGGTTAAGGCAAGAGGATCTCTTGAGCCCAGGAGGGCAAGGCTGCAGTGAGCTATGACTGTGCGACTGCACTCCAGCCTGGGCGGAAGAGTGAGACCTTGCCTCTAAAAAAATTACTTTTTTAAAATGAAGCTACCATGTTTCAGTAATCCCAATTCTAGGTATGTACCCAAAGGAAATGAAGTCAGTATGTTGAAGGCATATCTGCTCTCCCGTGTTCATCACAGCTCCTGCTCCAGAATCACAACTACCATGTCAGGTAGTCCTGGGTCCCTTTCTGCTCTGGAATCCATCACTTCTGGGTACCAAATACACTTCTGTATACAATACTGTACCCACCAACTACAGCAGTACTCTCTAAGCAAAGGGAGGAGGGAGAGAACAAAGAAGCAAGCCAAGCCCAGCAACAAGGAGCCAGGTAGGAGATATTCCCTGAGCTGGGTTTGAAGGGACAGGAAAAACAGAAATTTTGTTGACCAAAGAAAAAAAATTGAGAAGAAAAGTTGAGGCAAAGGGAATAGCACACATGAAAGCACAGGGATTTGAAACAGGGTGTGTGCGGGGAGTGATGGGGAGTCTGGTATAAATAAGAGCGGCGGCAGTGACGCTATCCAGGCAGTGTCACAGGCCAGGGGCTCCAGAAGCAAGTATGAGAAAGAGTTTGGAGTGAAAAGTGTTTACTAGGGAACAACACCTGTGAAGGAACAAGGGAAGGAGATTGATTGGGCAGAGGAGGAAGTCAAATTGCAGGCTGACCTCCCAGAAAGCCGATTATCTCAGCACATTTTCTGCTTCTATAACAAAATACCTGAAACTGGGCAATTTATAAAAAACAGAAAATAATTTCTCACAGTTCTGGAGGCTGGGAAATCCAAACCAAGCTGCCAGCTAGTGAGGACCTGGTCTCTGCATCCCCTTGGGGGACAAGAACACCGCACCTTCACATGGGGAAAGGTGAAAGAGCAAGAAAGCCACACACTGCATGAAGCCTCTTTTATAAAGGGTCTTATCCCATTCACGTGGGAGGAGCCTCGTGGCCTAATCACCTCTTAAAGGCCCCACCTCATAATACTATCGCACTGGCTATGAAGTTTCAACGCATGACTTTTGGAAAGGACACTTTCACACCGTAGCACCAACCCAGCAGGGAGATTTGGAATGACTGTTGGCCATCGGAGCTGTCCCATATCAGGTTAAAATGGACAGTCTTTATACCCCTGCCTCAATCACCAGGTCCTCAATCACCAGGTGTGGGCTATCCAGGAAAAGGGACTGCCTTGGGGAAGGAGGCTCTCTGCAGCTACGGTAAACCCTAAAGGAGGTGACAGCTGAAGGCTGTCTGCTGACCACACTCCTCACAGCTGGGCAGCAAGTCTGTCTTTGAAGGGAGAACTGTTCTTGAAGATCATCTCCATGTGTCCACAGACACGTGTGAGCAATGTCATTGAGGGCCCCTATGGCTAGTTAAGGAGCTTGGATTGTATGCAATAGACAATAGAGAGTCCATGAAAAGTCTCAGGCATGGAAATGACACACCCAGCTTTGTGTTAAGTGGCATTGTCAACAATGCGTGTGAAACAGGGCTGAAGGGTGAAGTCAGGGAGATCAGTTAGGAGACTGCTAAATTGGCCAAAGTGAGGGGAAGCACCTGAAGAGGCAGTAACAGAAGCATAAAGGAGAGGAAGGATCAGAGAGGAATTTAGGAGGTAAAACTTGCAAGAGGGAAGCCGACACTGTGTATTTTTGGAAGGGAAATCACAGTATCAAACATTCAAAAGCAGAACCTCTCAGCATCTACCCTCGCCCTTCCCAGCCAGCATGCACCTGATTAGACATTCTGGTTTTGTTCACCAGTTTTCCCAGTATCTGGGTCAATTGTTTCATACATAGTAAATGCTTGATAAATACTTGTTGAATGAATGATGGATGAGTAAGAGGACCGAGGCCACAGTCAACTGACACAAGATGTGGCTGCCACTTCCTGACTGTAAGCCTTCAGAAGCCATATCAAATTATAGTCTCTACACTCACACAAACATGCAAGGTGAAATGCAATACAAGGAAAGGGCTGCCACGGAAGCACAGCCTAGCTTTGCTTTAACAGCAGCTGAAGAATGAAGGCACACGCACCCTCTGGTGCAGCAGAGACCGTGGAGTGAAACAACTTGTCATTTTCAGTGGAGCCCAGGCCTTTCTCGTCCATTCCAAGGCCACAGGACACACTGCCTGGCCTGCAATTCCTCCACCACCAGGCAAGCAACCCACTTAGCTATGGGCCAAAAACATCTTGGTAGCCTAAGAATCTCTCTCTCACACACACACACACACACACACACACACACACACACTCACACACACAGAATCCAGATCTCAGCTCTTAAGAGAATGACTAGAAGTGCATATTTTGAGGACACCCAGCAGTGGTACCTAAGATGCCATTTGACTGAAAAAAAAAAAATTCAAAACCTCATCCTACTTAACCCATATTATTACTAAGTACTCATTGATATGTTTTTTTTAGTTGGCCTTCTAATCGGCTTGCCTGCAAAAACAATGCAAATATGCAGAGAGTTAAAAGTAAGAAGTGTATCCATAAGTGCCTATTTGTATAGTCTATGTTGTGAAGGACGCTCAAGACACTTAGAAGCTCCCCCTGGAAATGGGAACAGGGACAGGAAGGGACAAGAAGGATGGCATAAACAAGACCAGACTGCAAAAACTGCAATAAATGCCTAATTCTTCAATGCCCAGACACCAATGAACACCTAAAAACACTGAGACCATCCAGGAAAACATGAGCTCACCAAATGAACTGAAGGCACCAGGGACCAATACTGAAGAAACAGAGATATTTGATCTTTCTTTTTTTTTTTTTTTTTTTTGAGACGGAGTCTCGCTCTGTCGCCCAGGCCGGACTGCGGACTGCAGTGGCGCAATCTCTGCTCACTGCAAGCTCCGCTTCCCGGGTTCACGCCATTCTCCTGCCTCAGCCTCCCCAGTAGCTGGGACTACAGGCGCCCGCCACCGCGCCCGGCTAATTTTTTTTTTGTATTTTTAGTAGAGACGGGGTTTCACCTTGTTAGCCAGGATGGTCTCGATCTCCTGACCTCATGATCCACCCGCCTCGGCCTCCCAAAGTGCTGGGATTACAGGCGTGAGCCACCGCGCCCGGCCGATATTTGATCTTTCTTACAGATAATTCAAAATAGCTGTGTTAAGGAAATGAGAAGAAATTCAAGATAACACAGTGAAGAAATTCAGAATTCTATCAGGTAAATTTCACAAAGAGATTGAAATTATTAAAAAGAATCAAGCAGAAATTCTAGAGTTGAAATACTACAGGGAAACATTGGAGAAACTCTCAAGGACATTGGTCTGGGCAACAATTTCTTGAGTAATATCCCACAAGCAGAGGCAACCAAAGCAAACATGGACAAATGGGATCACATCAAGTTAAAAAGCTTCTGTGCAAAGGAAATAATCAACAAAGTGAAGAGAAAACCCACAGAATGGGAGGAAATATTCGCAAACTACTCATCTGACAAGGGATTAATAATCAGAATGTATAAGGAGCTCAAACAACCCTACAGGAAAAAATCTAATAATCCAACTTAAAAATTGGCAAAATATTTGAATAGACATTTCTCAAAAGAAGATATACAAATGGCAAACAGACATATGAAAAGGTGCTCAATATCATTGATTGTCAGAGAAATGCAAATCAAAACTACAATGAGATACCATCTCATCCCAGTTAAAATGGCTCTTATCCAAGAGACAGGCAGTAACAAATGTTGGTGAGCATGAGAAGAAAAGGGGACCCTCATCCACTATTGATGTGCATGTACATTAATACAAGCACTATGGAGAACAGTTTGGAGGTTCTTCAAAAAAAAAAAAAAACCAACTAAAATTAGAGTTACCATAGGATCCAGAAATCCTGTTGTGAGGTATATACTCCAAAGAAAGGAAATAAGTATATTGAAGAGATATCTGTACGCCCCTGTTTGTTGCAGCATTGTTCACAATTGTCAAGATTTGAAAACAACCACAGTGTCCATCAACAGATGATTGGATAAAGAAAATGTGGTATATATACACAATGGAGAACTATGCAACCATAAAAAAAGAATGAAATCCTAAATGTGGAGAAATAGGAACGCTTTTACGCTGCTGGTGGGAATGTAAATTAGTTCAACCATTGTAGGAGACAGTGTGGCGATTCCTCTAGGATCTAGAACCAGAAATACCATTTGACCCAGCAATCCCACTACTGAGTATATACCCAAAGGATTATAAATCATTCTACTATAAAGACACATGCACATGTATGTTTATTGTGGCAGTATTCACAATAGCAAAGACTTGGAACCAACCCAAATGCCTATCAATGACAGACTGGATAAAGAAAATGTGGCACATATACACCATGGAATACTATGCAGCCATAAAAAAGGATGAGTTCATATCCTTTGCAGGGACATGGATGAAGCTGGAAAGCATCATTCTCAGCAAACTATTGCAAGAACAGAAAACCAAACACCACATGTTCTCACTCATAAGTGGGAGTTGTACAATGAGAACACATGGACACTGGGAGGGGAACATCACACACCAGGGCCTGCCGCAGGGTGGGGTGGGGGACTAGGGGAGGGACAGCATTAGGAGAAATACCTAATGTAGATGATGGGTTGATGGGTGCAGCAAACCACCATGGCACGTGTATACCTATGTAACAAACCTGCACGTTCTGTACATGTATCCCAGAACTTAAAGTATAATAAAAATAAAAATAAAAAAGAAGAATCATAATTGAATAAAAGTAATTCTACCACTAAAAAAAGAATGAGATTTGAAACAACATGGATGGAACTGCAGGACATTATGTTAAGTGAAATAAGTCAGGCACAGAAAGACAAACTTCATATTTTCTCACTTATTTCTGGGAGCTAAAAATAAAAACAAACCCATGGAGATAGAAAGTAGAAGGATGATTACCCGAGGGTGGGAAGGGGAGTGGGAGGATGGGGGAGAAGCGGGAATGATTAATGTGTACAAAAAAATAGAATGAATGATATCTAATATTTGATAGCTCAACCGGGTGACTATAGTCCATAATAATTTAATTGTACATTTAAAAATAACTAAAAGAGTATAATTGGATTGTTTGTAACACGAAGTATAAATGCTTGAGGGGATGAATACCTCGTTTTCCATGATGCGGTTATTCCACATTGCATGCTTGTATCAGGTTATCTTGTGTGCCTCATTAATATATACACCTATTATATACCCACAAAAATTAAAAATAAACAAGTAAAAAATAAAAATAATGAGCATTATGAACCACTATATGCCTAATATATATAACTGACAATTTCCTGGAAAAACATAACATGCCAAAATTGGCCCAAGAAATAGAGAATTGAACAGATGCTAAATATTGAAGAAAGTAAAATGGTAGTTATTGGCTTCCTAACGTCCCTTCAAAAAAACCTCCAGGAGGCCCAGCGCGGTGGCTTACGCCTGTAGTCCCAGCACTTTGGGAGGCCAAGGCGGGCAGATCAAGAGGTCAGGAGATCTAGACCATCCTGGCTAATGTGGTGAAACCCTGTCTCTACTAAAAAATACAAAAAATTAGCCGGGCGTGGTGGCGGACGCCTGTAGTCCCAGCTACTCGGGAGGCTGAGGCAGGAGAATGGTGTGAACCTGGGAGGTGGAGCTTGCAGTGAGCCAAGATCGCGCCACTGCACTCCAGCCTGGGCGACAGAGTGAGAATCTGTCTAAAAAAAAAAAAAAAAAAAAGTTGGAAAAGAATTCAAAGAAATGAAGACCTCTTCTTTAGACCTCCCCTTTCCCTCTCCTGTTCTGTAGATGATCTCATCTGACTCGACGGCTCAAGATAATTTTGTATGTCTCCAAATTCGTATCCCCATACAAAACCTCTCACGTATCTCAGTACCCGCCTGCCATCTCCCTGCTCGCCTCTCAGGAGCTTAAACCCTTTCTCGTGTTAATTCGTTAAGTACCTCCCCAAATTCCTTAAGAAGAAAATGGAGGCCATCCTTGACCTTCCCTTTTGTTTTATGTCCAAGACCCAGTCCACCACTGAATCTTCATGATTTCACCTCCAGATGTAGGTAGCTAATGTATGTTCCTATTTTCCCTGGTCCTATCCTAGTTCAAGCAGCCCTCCCCTCCTGCCTGAGCCACTGGTCTTCCAAACTTGCTTCTGTCTGTCTCCAAGCCTTGTCTGCATGTAGCAACCCAAATGACCGTCTTTCAACCTATTTGAATCAATCCACTCCCCTGCTCAAAATACTTCAATAACCTTTCATTGTAACTAGGATAAAAAACAGAAAGACTCACCAGCTCCATCTGCCCCTCCTTCCCTCCTGACGTTAATTTGTGTCATCATCTTGCTCACAAAACACTAGCACTGACTTTCTCTCAGTCCTGGAACACAAAAAACTAATTCCCCACTTTCATGTCCTTGCAGGTGCTGTTTCCTCTCTCTGGAAAGGTCTTTTCTCAGTCCTTTGAGTAGGTGACACCCTCTCAGTTTTCTGGTCTTAGCTTAAATGTCTCTTTCTCAGATATCTTTTCTTTTGTTTTTTTTCTATGTTTAGATGTTTATTTTTTTATTTTTCCGTAAGTTATTGGGGTACAGGTGGTGTTTGGTTACATGAGTAAGTTCTTTAGTGGTATTTGTGAGATTCTGGTGTACCCATCACCCGAGCAGTATACACTGCACCTTATTTGTAGTCTTTTATCCCTCACCCCCTACTCTTCCCCCCGAGTCCCCAAAGTCCACAGTATCATTCTTATGCCTTTGCATCCTCATAGCTTAGCTCCTACATATCAGTGAGAACATACGATGTTTGGTTTTTCATTCCTGAGTTACTTCACTTAGAATAACAGTCTACAATCTCATCCAGGTCACTGCAAATGCTGTTAATTCATTCCTTTTTATGGCTGCATAGCATTCCATCATATATATACCACAGTTTCTTTATCCACTCGTTGATTGATGGTTATTAGGGTTGGTTCCACGATTTTGCAATTGTGAATTGTGCTGCTATAAACATGTGTGTGCAAGTATCTTTTTCGAATAATGACTTCTTTTCCTCTGGGTAGATGCCCAGTAGTGGGATTGCTGGATCAAACGGTAGTTCTACTTTTAATTCTTTAAGGAATCTCTCCACACTGTTTTCCATAGTGACTGTGCTAGTTTACATTCCCACCAGCAGTGTACAAGTGTTCCCTGTTCACCGCATCCACGCCAACATCAGATACCTTTTCTGACCAAGTGATCTAAGAAGTCGATCACTTCTCTTCCCCTATTATCTGTAGCTCAGATTCCCGTTTCCTGGGGGCATTCATCAGTTTGTGATGATTTTATTTCCCAGTCTGTTTACTTTAGAAGACTTCTCCCATACTGGTCTGCAGACTCCAGGAGGGGAGGCAGTTACGTTCATCTTGTTCCTGGTGGTATCTGCAGCACTGAGCCCAATGCCTGCCGTCAACAACACATGAACAGCGCAAGAAAAAGATGAACGGCAAGATAAACTCTGGGTATGAGTAGAACTGAGGTTGGTTTTGATGAGAGGTGTCGGGAGTCTGGGCTGCTCCCAGAAGGGGGATGCAGGGGTGAAGACTGAATGCAGGGACTTCAGTAGCAGGTGAGAGGGTACGTTCTCCAAATGACTCTGTGGGATGGCTGGGTGGTGGCACTGAGGCAGCCCTGCCCACCTCAGAATCTCACCATGGAGGGCTTGTTATTGTTAGATTTGAAAAGTAGGGGAAACTGCTGGGCACGGTGGCTCACGCCTGTAATCCCAGCACTTTGAGAGGCTGAGACAGGCAGATCACGAGGTCAGGAAATTGAGACCATCCTGGCTAACATGGTGAAACTCCTACTAAACTCTATGAAAAATACAAAAAAGTAGCTGGGCGTGGTGGCGGGCGCCTGCAGTCCCAGCTACTTGGGAGGCTGAGGCAGGAGAATCACTTGAACTCGGGAGGCGGAGGTTGCAGTGAACCGAGATCGTGCCACTGCACTCCAGCCTGGGTGATAGAGCGAGACTCGGTCTAGAAAAAAAAAAAAAGAAACAAAGAAAAGTAGGGGAAACTAGGCCTAGAACGATAATCATGGCCCATTAGTAGTAGAACTAGGAACAGTGCTGAAATCATTCACATTCTCCTCCAGCACAGTGCCTATGGTGTCACTCTGGCCTGAAGGAGGACTCCAAACTGACATGTTTTACACCTGCCAAGTATGAGGACCAGAGGCATGTTGCTTGAAACCTGTTGGAAGGCAGTAAACTTCCCATAGAAGAGGAAATACAGGGCTAGGTTCAGTCCTATAATCCCAGCACTTTGGGAGGCCAAGGTGGAAAAATTGCTTGAGCCCAGGAGTTTGAGACCAGCTTGGGCAACATGGTGAGACCTCGTCTCTACAAAGAAATAAAAAAAATTAGCCAGGTGTGGTGACACACACCTGTGGTCCCAGCTACTCGGGAGGCTGAAGTGTCAGGATCGCTTAAGCCTGGGAGGTTGAGGCTGTAGTGAGCAGTGATGATGGTGCCACTGCACCCCAGCCTGAGCAACAGAGCAAGACCCTGTCTCAAAAAATAAAATAAAAATAAAGAGGAGATACAAAGACAAGATGAGTTGTTAGCCAGATGAGGTGTTGTTTGGCCAGGGTGCTAAAAATCCAATTACTTTATGTGGAGGATATAAGGCTGCGTAGCCTGGTTTGAATCTGAAGTCCTTTCAGCTCTGAGACAGCGGAGCTAGGAGTTTGGTCAGAGAGAGGGCGGGCTGAGGCAGAGAGAGGGCGGGCTGAGGCAGACAGAGGGTGGGCTGAGGCAGAGAGAGGGAGGACTGAGGGAGCCATGGTTTGGTCAGAGAGAGGGAGGGCTTTGGGAGCCATGGTTTGGGAGAGCCAAGAGCATCCTATCCACCAGAAAGAGGAAAGGGAGATGGAGCAGGAAGGTGTCCATGTGCGGGAGGAGGGAGACTCTGGCCTACTCCTTGTAAACAAGACTCATTTCCCAAGGCCTTTGCACATAGATATTGAGATTGAGGGAATTACCCAGGTTTATCTGAAGACACCATCTTGGGATTGCCTCCCTGAGGCCTCCCCCAAACTGATAAATAATCCTGACACAGTTCTGACATGGCCTCTTCCTTCCCGACCTGAGGCTCAGTCATCAGCTTTCGGGTCCCGCAGCCTGGCTGGGGCACCCTGTCTTACATTGTGTCTCCTCTCTTCTGGGGACCAAAGGTCCAGGCGCCAGTTCTCCTGCTTTTCACCTGTACCCTGCTCCAGCCTTGAGTCCCACAACCAGACTTACGGCCCTGTATGTCCTGACTCTGAACGTTCACTGGATGGAGGAGAAAAGTGGAGGCAGCAGAACCTGTGAATTCTGAGAGCAGAACGGACACTGGGTAAGGTCTGGATGGCTCAGCCTCAGGCTTGATTTCTTTTCTTTTCTTTTTTCTTCCTTTCCTTTTCCTTCCTTCCTTCCTTTCTTCCTTCCTCCCTCCCTCCTTCTCTTTCTTTTCTTTTTCTCTTTTCTTTCTCTTTCCTTCCTTCATTCCTTCCTTCCCTCTCTCTTCCTGCCTCCCTCCCTCCTTCCTTTCTTCCTTCTCTCTTCCTCCTCCTTCCTCTTTCTCTCTTTCCTTCCTTCTTTCTTCTTTCCTTTTTCTCTTTCCCTTCCTTCCTTCCTCTCATTCCTCTCTCTTCCTTTCTTTCTTTCCTTTCTCTTTTTCTTTTTCTTTCTTCCTTCCTTCCTTTTTCTCTCTTCTTCATTTCCCTCTCACAAACATCCTTGCATACTTTAAAAACTCTTCATATAATCTCGCGTATTAGTGTTGAAAGGGAATCGAAGAATCCCTGCAATTATTTTACTGCTCTTTTGCAAAGTGCTGTCACACGCCCTGCTGCATGTGATTCTCACAACCTGCAAGAAAGTCTTTGTGGGTGCGAGGAGGCGGCTCAGGGATGTTGCATGCCCTGCTCGAGGTCACGCAGCCAGGAAATGACAGGGGAGGTACCAAGCACAGTGTCCTGACACCAAGCGTGGAGCCCTTTTCCATATGGCCCCCGCGTTCTCTCCCCTCTTCCCCCAGCCACGCTGCAAGAGGGTTTGTCTCTCTAAGGCCATCTGACCACACAACTGTTCAGAACCACTGACTCTTACGGACTCAGAGCAGTGTTTCCCAAAGCACAGGATCCAAATCACTGGGTCCTTCCTAAAAAGACTTGGTTCTCAGAGCAGAATTCAAAACAGGGGGCCAGAAAACTGACTTTCTGTGTTGAGGCATCACAGGTGATTCTGATGCACAGGGTCCGGAGACCTTTGCCGTGAGGGCTAGAAAGCAGTGGTACTGATTCCTCTGGGGGTCTCTGGCTTTCCCTGTCACCTGTCAGGAAAGAGTCCCAGAGGGCGCTGAACTCCAGGCACCAGGCTTGCTAGGGAGTGGACTTGAGCGACAGAATAGGGGAATCAAATCTGGTCTTCGTCACTTACTAGTCAAGCAATTTCAGGAAACTTACTTTCCAAGCCTCAGTTCCTCATCTATAAAATGGGACAATAGGACCAAGTAGGGTTGTTGTGTGAACTAAAGATCTTGATATAAAGTATTTCACACATTGTCTGACCAAATGCTGAGTAAAAGGTGGTGGTTTGCTCAAAACACAGTTGTTATGTGTTAAACTTGGATTCAAACCCAAGCTTCTGACTCGAAATTTTCTGACATACCAGTGGCACTGAATATCTGAGAACTGGATTTGGGGAATTGGAGTAATGAATCCACTCATTTCCTAAATGCAGGGCCTGCCTCATCCTCTGCCCTTCACCTGGAGCTCCTTCTGGGTTACTCACAGTTCCCACATCTGCATTTATTTATTCTTCATTACTTCAAATTAATAATGTTTCCGATTGAATTTGCAGAACAGGCTCTACACTTTGCTGGCACACTGGCTGGATTTTCGCACAACTGCATTTTTCTCTGTACTGTCTCTTACTTTCTTAGGCTCTTGGGCTCATCACGATTCCTTACTTATTGTTCTCAATTGCACGGAGTGTCGAATATTCTATGCAGTTCAGTTCAGCCCTTGTGTATGGATGCCTACACTATGACTGGTACTGGCTGAGGTCCTGAGGATGCAGTAACGACAATGATGTTTTCCCTGCTGTGGAGGTGCTCACAGTGTCGTGGGAAAACAGACATTTAGGAAAAACATGAGATGGACCATCCTAAAAGAATGTGAAGACCAAGATATAACGCAGAACCTGTCATTGTGACCTCTGGGGTGGGAGGAGGTGCTTGACTGGGAGCAATAATGGGTCCTTCCAGGCTGACAGTGGAAGATCAGAGTGGAGAAAGCGCATTTGGTGAAAAGGAAGAGTGAGGCTAAGGATGGAAGGAAAAGTGTTTCTTGCATTCTAGAAGTGCAAGGCCAGGGAGTAGGAGAAGCCACTGGGGATAAAGCAGCCTGGAGCACTGACGAACCGGCCACAAAGTTGGCCTGCTCTGGAGGACGTGGGAAAGCTCAGCTACTACAGGGACGCTACGTGATCTGCTTTGTAATTTCGAAAGCACACCCAATGCAGCATGGGTGCTGAGCCCTTTATATTCTTGCCTTCACCCTCACAGTGACACTGAAGACTCAGTAGCACTAGCATCCAGTGTGGGTGAACTGCATGTTTTTTATATTATTATAGAAGAATAATAAACTGGATTCTTAATTTAACAATTACTATAACCATCTTTCCATATATAAATTAAAAAAAATTAGCATCATTGTTTATGATCATTCCAGAGTGTTCCATTAATTCGATGGATTATGTAATTTTAAAACAGACTTACTGAGATGTAAGTAATGCCATAAAATTCAGCCGTTTAAAGTGTACAACGGAATTATTTTTGTTTGTTTTTTGTTGTTGTTGTTTGAGACAAAGTTTCACTCTTGTTGCCCAGGCTGGAATGCAGTGGCGCGATCTTGGCTCACTGCAACCTCCGCCTCCTGGGTTCAAGCGATTCTCCTGCCTCAGCCTCCCGAGTAGCTGAGACTACAGGCGCCACCACCACGCCAGGCTAATGTTTTGTATTTTTAGTAGAGACGTGGTTTCACCATGTTGGTCAGGCTGGTCTCGAACTCCTGACCTCAGGTGATCCATCTGCCTTGGCTTCCCAAAGTGCTGGGATTACGGGCATGAGCCACTGCACCCGGCCGGAATGGTTTTAATATACTCATGTGCTTTTGCAACTATCACCACATCTAATTCTGCAGCATTTTCATCACTCTCGAAAGAATCCTGTACCCTTTCACAGTCGCTCCTCGTGTCTCCCTCTCCCCAGCTCCTGGGAGCCACCAGTCTACCTTCTGTCTCTATGGATTTGCTTATTCTGTAATCTTTCAAAGAAAATCTCGAATGTTGAATGTTTATGTTATTTCTACACTTTTTTCGATTATTAACAGGTTCTGAGAAACATCTCAGAAAATACCTACATTTTTACATTGTCTGATTATATTAAATTTCTAGAATTAGAATATGCTGAAACAAAAGCATGTCCTTTTTTGTTAGTTTCCCAAGTCACAAAATGACATTGTTGAGTGTACGTTTTTCTCCTTTTTTGTGGAAAAATACTTAGTAATTGATGCCGAAAAGATAGTTTTCAAGGATAATAGTGTGTGTGTGTGTGAAAATGAGTTTTTGAACATATTGTTATGATCTTCAAGAAATATAAAATTAAATTTATGAAAGACTTGAAGGCCAGATACAAGGAGTCTGCTATTTGCTACAGTGTCCAGCACTGTGATAATGATTCCCGGCATAAAAGCAAAAAGTGTACGATCTCAAGTCTCTTTAATAACTGTCAGTATAACTTATAACAGTGTGACTTAGCTCCAAAAAGTCTATTTCCTTGCAGTATTTTTTGCCATAGTTATTGCATTTTCTTTTGCAAAATAAATGCAGGTGTGATAATGCAAAGTGAGTAAGATTGGCCCCCCACACCACACAAACAGGCTGTGGACCAATCCTGTTTATAAATATAACTACAAAAGCCACATAAAACATTAGGGAGTCAATTTTAATAGTTTATACCAAGAACACAAGTATGGCTCCATATTGGGAACGCTGTTAACTGTGATAAAAACTTAAAAAGCATCTGCTTAAAGATGCAGCAGCCCTACTTGATTATTAAAATACTCCTGGTAAAATGCAAGCAGAAGGAGAGTTGCTAAATAAACATATCCTCTTCGGCTTAAAGTCCTTTAAGGCTCTTTATTGCATTTGAAATAAAATTTTAGGCTGGGCGCAGTGGCTCACGCCTGTAATCCCAGCACTTTGGGAGGCCGAGGCAGGCAGATCACGAGGTCAGGAGTTTGAGACCAGCCTGAACAACATGGTGAAACCCTGTTTCTACTAAAAATACAAAAATTAGCCGGCCGTGGTGGCGAGCACCTTTAATCCCAGCTACTTGGGAGGCTGAGGCAGGAGAATTGCTTGAATCCGGGAGGTGGAGGTTGCAGTGAGCTGAGATTGTGCGCCACTGCACTCCAACCTCATGACAAGAGTGAAACTTGGTCTTAAAAAATAAAATAAAATAAAATAAAATAAAATAAAATAAAATAAAATAAAATAAAATAAAATAAAATAAAATAAAATAAAATAAAAGTACTACCATAACAATCCACTAAATCCACGTGTACTGGCTGTTTCTGAAGTTCCATCCAGTTCTACTCACCTGCTCACTCTAGCATCAGTACCAGGCTTCAGAGTCTGGATATTTGGCAGAGCGGGTTTCCTTCGTTACTCTGTTTCAGTCTTTTCCTAGCTTATTTTCATGCTTACTTTTAGGTAAAATTTAGGTTAGCTTTTGTTTCCCCCAAATCCCATGATCTTGACTTTGAGAGGTTAAGCTTCAGGTTAATGCAAGTGACTATGCGTTACTTTTGGTAATTTTATCTATTTATTAAATGTATATCTTATGTCTCTTGGGAGAATCTGCAGGTCCTGAGCAATTCTTGTTAACATCGTAATACTTAGATAATGGAAATGGGATTGCTTTGTATTGTATTTTAACCTAATTCATAGATATAATATATGGAATAATGGGCAATATTTGAATACTTTATTACTTAATTTTATCCTTGCCACCCCCATGTTGCACATGAAGGATCCCAGTTCTGGAAGAGCTCAAGTAACCTGCCTGGGATGTCACAGCTAGTCGGTGGTAGTACTCGGATTTGCATTCTGAGGGCACAGGCTGTATGGCTACACTATATGGCTTACTGGGAGCACCATTAGTTTGGGGTCTATTCATTTTGTGTTTGGTAACTTTACTGACATCCCTTTTTATTTCTAGTGACATTTCATCAATTGAGGGTTCCCAAATAGACTATCATATAAGCAAATAATAATTTTTCCCTCTCCTTTCCAATATGTTCCCCTTTGTCTAGTTGTACAATATCTATTTCTTATAATGTATACATCTGTTTTAAAAATCTATAAAATGTCATAACATAACATACTCATCTTTAAACATTTCAAGAGTACAGTAAGATGATAGGATTTAAAATAAGTCATAGATATTATTCCTATAATATTGAGTATGCCAGATTAGAAGTTGCTGGAATAATTAAGTTGCACAGAGATTTTCCACGTTCTGTTTTTGTGCCTTATGACTTTGTTGCCTATCTAAACAGATTATAAAATTTAGTCTAAAATATTTTTAATGCTAAGAAAATAGCTGATTTTGCTTATCTTCTTGTCATCTTACAAATTGAGGACACCTTGTAAACATTTGTTGGTGTTAATGTTGCAGAGAGTTGGGGAAATGGATGGAGGCAACCAGAGTGAAGGTTCAGAGTTCCTTCTCCTGGGGATCTCAGAGAGTCCTGAGCAGCAGCAGATGCTGTTTTGGATGTTCCTGGTCAGGTACCTGGTCACGGTGCTGGGAAATGTGCTCATCATCCTGGCCATCAGCTCTGATTCCCGCCTGCACACCCCCATGTACTTCTTCCTGGCCAACCTCTCCTTCACTGACCTCTTCTTTGTCACCAACACAATCCCCAAGATGCTGGTGAACCTCCAGTCCCAGAACAAAGCCATCTCCTACACAGGGTGTCTGACACAGCTCTACTTCCTGGTCTCCTTGGTGGCCCTGGACAACCTCAACCTGGCCGTGATGGCGTATGATCGCTATGTGGCCATCTGCCGTCCCCTCCACTATGTCACAGCCATGATCCCTGGGCTCTGTATCTTGCTCCTCTCCTTGTGTTGGGTGTTCTCTGCCCTCTATGGCCTCATCCATATCCTCCTCATGACCAGGTGACCTTCTGTGGGTCTCAAAAGATCCACTACCTCTTCTGTGAGATGTACTTCCTGCTAAGGCTGGCATGTTCCAACATCCACGTCAACCACACAGTACTGGTTGCCACGGGCTGCTTCATCTTCCTCATCCCCTTAGGTTTCATGATCACATCCTACGCCCGCATTGTCAGAGCCATCCTCCAAATACCCTCAGCCACTGGGAAGTACAAAGCCTTCTCCACCTGTGCTTCCCATTTGGCTGTGGTCTCCCTCTTCTATGGGACTCTGGGTATGGTGTACCTGCAGCCCCTCCAAACCTACTCCATGAAGGACTCAGTAGCCACAGTGATGTATGCGGTGGTGACGCCATGATTAACCCTTTCATCTACAGCCTGAGGAACAAGGACATGCATGGGGCTCTGGGAAGACTTCGCCAAGGAAAAGCCTTCCAGAAGTTGACATGAGGGGTAATTTTGGGCATTGAAGTGGAGACAGAAAATTTCCTCCACCGTGAGCAAGGCCTGTGGGGGATATCGGAGTGATTAGAACACAGGTCCAGCTCAGAATGAGTTTATGGATTTGTGGTGAAGCAAAGACGCCTCCGTCTAACCCAACTGCAGCTGCACCAGACCCATCTGCTTCAACTTTAATGTAACAAGGTTGTAAGTTGTTTTTCAGTGGCCATGGCTCCTTAGGTCATGTGACCTGAGTATGCTCGGATGAACCAAGCATGAAACCACAGGAGAAACTAAGTGCTGGGGCTGAAGCTTTTTCTTTTTTTTTTTTTTTGAGACAGAGTCTGGCTCTGTCACCCAGGCTGGAGTGCAGTGGCACGATCTCAGCTCACTGCAACCTCCACCTCCCGGGTTCAAGCAATTCTCCTGCCTCAGCCTCCCAAGTAGCTGGGACTACAGGCGCCCACCACAACGCCTGGCTAATTTTTTTGTATTTTAGTGGAGACGGGGTTTCTCCATGTTGGCCAGGACAGTCTAGATCTCCTGACCTCATGATCTGCCCGCCTTGGCCTCCCAAAGTGCTATGATTACAGGAGTGAGCCACTGGGCCCGGCCATAATTTTTGTACTTTTAGTAGAGACAGGGTTTCACCATGTTGACTAGGCTGGTCTCGAACTCCTGACCTCAGGTGATCCACCTGCCTCGGCCTCCCAAAGTGTGGTGAGAGATGAAGTCCCTGGACTTCCTGGGTAGAGTGGGACTTGGAGAACTTTTCTTTCTAGCAAGAGGATTGTAAAATGCACCAATCAGCACTCTGTAGCTAGGATTGTAATATGTACCAATCAGTGCTCTGTAGCTAGCAAGGGGATGGTAAAATGCACCAATCAGCACTCTGTAAAATGCACCAATCAGCAGGATCCTAAAAGTAGCCAATAACAGGGAGGATTGAAAAAAAAGGGCATTCTGATAGGACAGAAACGGAACATGGGCGGGGACAAATAACAGAATAAAAGCTGGCCACCCCTCAGCCAGCAGCGGCAACCCACTCTGGTCTCCTTGCATGCTATGGAAGCTTTGTTCTTTTGCTCTTCACAACATTTCTTGCTGCTACTCACTCTTTGGGTCCATGCCATCTTTAAGAGCTGTAACACACCGTGAAGGTCCACAGCTCCATTCTCGAAGTTAGCAAGACCATGAACCCACTGGAAGGAACCAACTCCGGATACACCGGGATTATAGATGTGAGCATTTAATAATTTAATACCTGCCTCTGGTTTTGCTTCCCAGATTCCAGATTCTCAGCTTCAGGAGAAGCACCTCCACTCTTACTGCTTTCGCTAACTTCATTTCCCTAACACTATATTGCCATTGTTTTAATACATTCTTCTTTATCCTATGGGAATAGTTGTCTCTCATTATTATTTTCATTTGAATAGCTCTGACGTAATAAGGTTTATCTTTTTCCTGGTATTTGTTAACAATTTGCATTTTTTGTTAATCACTCTTGTGCATTTTATTTTTGGTTGTGTATTGTTCAATTTCCAGTACTATGGAATCTCTATGTATGTCTTTCCTTCAGAAGTAACCATGACCCTGAATTTTGTGTTTGTCATTTTCTTCCTTCACTCCAACCCGTGGGGAGTACAATTCAGCATGATATTTGGGTAGGGACACAGAGCCAAAACTTATCAGTGTCCATTCACCTACAGATGGACATTTGGGTTGTGGGGCAGGCAGCCTCTAAAATGTCTCCCAGTGATTGCTGCCTCATGGTATTCATAGCTGTATATAGTCCCCTCTCTTGGGTGTGGGTGAAATCTAGGGACTTGCTTCTAACAAAGAGAATACAGTAAAACTAATGACTTCTGAGATTAAGTTATAAAAGACTATGATTTCCATCTCCTCTCTTTCTGGCTCTCTTCTCGATTGCTCTGTGGAAGGAAGCAGACGTGTTTTGAGAGGCCTTAGTAGCAAGGAACTGAAGGCGGCCTCCAGCCAACAGACAGTGAGGCACTGAGGCCTCCAGTCCAACAACCAGCAAAATGTGGAAACTTACCAGGGATCACGTGAATGAGCATGGAAGCTTATCCCTCCCTGGTCAAGCCTTGAGACAGCTGCACCACTGGCTGATACCGCTAAGGCAGCCTCATGAGAGAACCCGGACCCAGTATTTCTGATGCAAATTTGGCATCCTAATTGAGATGTGCTATAAGTTTAAAAAACACGTACCAGGCCAGGCACGGTGGCTCACTCCTGTAATCCCAGCATTTTGGGAGGGTGAGGCGGGTGGATCATGAGGTAAAGAGATCGAGATCATCCTGGCCAACATAGTGAAACCCTGTACCTACTAAAAATACAAAAATTAGCCGGGCATGCTGGCATGCACCTGTAGTCCCAGCTACTTGGGAGGCTGAGGCAGGAGAATTGCTTGAACCTGGGAGGCGGAGGTTGTGGTGAACCGAGATCACGCCACTGCACTCCAGCCTGGCAACAGAGCAAGACTCTGTCTAAAAAAACAAAACAAAACAAACAAACAAACAAAAAAAACACATACCAGATTTCAAAGACTATGAAATATAAAAATGTAAAATCTGTCACTTATAATTTTTTATTTTTAAAATATTTTTCTTTTTTCACTACAACCATGACAGATGAAAAATTTTAAATATTAACATGTTGAAGTGGTAATATTTTAGATTATTGAATTAAATAAAATACATCATTAATTTCACCTGTTTCTTTTTACTTTTATTAAAGTGGCTCTTGAAAAATTTAAATTATGTATGTGGTTCATATGAAATTTCTATTGGATAGCACTGCTCTGGATGATAGCTTCTTCTTCCAGAAATGACTTATTTTTGAGTCTGGCAGGCAGAAAGGATAGGAGTAGATCCCTTTTATCCAACCCATGATCGAGTTAGTTGCTTAAAGCTGAGTTTCATTCTTTGCGAGGCTTGGCCTATTTCCGATTATGCCTTACTCCTAGAATGTATAGCACGCTAAAACTCCCATTTCAAAGCTGAGAGTGTTTATTGTACTTTTCCCTTTGGCAGCACCTTACCTGCAAGTTTTATCTCTCCAGCCCCATAAGCCGCTAAAACTCTGCTCACTTCTTAGCCTCTCAGCTACACTCTCTGCTATCTCAGTCCCTGTGTTGGAGTCAGCAAATGCGTTTTGAGGGGAAGCAGTTCAATCATTAGCAGTCTGTTTTTGGGATTCCTTTCTCTTCTGGGTTTTGGCCCAAGTCAGACTTGGTAGCTCTTTTTTGTCTCTCAGACTTCTGGTGGCAAGGTCATTTCTTTGCTTGATGAGGAGCAAGAGTCTAGAGTTGTCCTCTTCTACCAGAGTTCCCTGAGGGAATTAACTGAACGTCCCAAAACATACACTCTGTCATGTACTAACTTCCATCCTATGCGTCTAGAATGTTGCCAGCTATGTATCTTTGGGGAAATTTAGAAAATAGCCGAGTCATTTTGTGTAGGGCTTAATTCTCTCATGGAAACTGAGTTGAGCAATGCTAGTGTAAAGAATCTTGTTAAGGTAACTTAGGTCACACACCCATATAGAACCATCACACCATCGCCAGGCCATTAGATATTCTGATACCCCCTCTCTGGAGCCTGGGCTGGAACCACACTCCCTGGAGCCACCTGGATGCCAAACAGAAATTGGCAGCTGTCAGAAAGGGAGAAACAGAAGTCGGAAAGACCATAAATGTTCACCACCAGCAGTTATCAATAAAATAAAATGTAGAGTCCTGGTTTACACTCCAACATGTAAAGAGATTAGAAGTCATCAGTCCTATTCCCACAATAAAAAGTGCAACAAATTCAAAAGCAACAACTCTTCTTAGATTCCTCAAAGAACTCAAGTCACAGGGCAAGCTGCTGCTCTGAAAATGGGAGAGAGGTGAATACGAAGAATCATGGCTTAACTGGAATAGAAGCCCAGGAGCAGAAGCCCACTGCTGGGGCCAGCACAGGTACACACACCGAGACCACAATTGACAAGTGGGAGAATCGTTGTGAACTAGCTTGGGAATTAGAAACTCTGGGCTGGGGTGTGGGGAGTCTTAAGAGGACCGTCACAGTTTCCTGAGTTTTACCTCCAGGAACACCACCAGATTCTTACTGTGAAGATTTTAGAAGGATCCTTTTATGCTTCTGACGGGGAGGAGAAAAGCAACCCCTGTCAGACCCCCAAAAACAGCAATTTTGAAATATGCTCAGAGTATATTTCCTTAATAATGGCTGGCTCTCAAGGGAAATGATTTTACCAGAGCCTAACCCATTGTAGGTTTTTGTTTTTGGAGATAGAGTTTTGCTCTTGTCACCCAGGATGGAGTGCAATGGGGCAATCTCGGCTCACTGCAACCTCCGCCACCTAGGTTCAAATGATTCTCCTGCCTCAGCCTCTGGAGTAGCTGGGATTACAGGCATGTGCCACCATGCCTGGCTAACTTTTTGTATTATTAATAGAGATGGGGTTTCACCATGTTGGCCAGGCTGGTCTTGAACTCCTAACCCCAGGTGATCCACCTGCCTTGGCCTCCCAAAGTGCTGGGATTACAGGTGTAAGCCACCATGCCTGCCCCAACTATAGGTTTTACCAGAGCCTAATTGACAATGTGGGGGAAGAAAAATACCCAGCTCCCTCTAACCTTCAACATGGAGGAAGGGAAATACCCAACTCTAAACTTCCTGTCTCACTTAAGGGAGAGGAGGAAGTTGAGTAGCACTTGTGAAATAACAGTGCAGGGGCACAAACTCATCATGAGACCTGAGTGAGACCGAGACCTAATCACAGGATTATAGAATGCTTTCCTTGCCCCCACATCTCACCATCACACCAGTAGGGCTCCTATATGCTAACGGGATTACAATGGAAAGAACTGCAAGGTTCCAACCCTATTTAAGAAGGAATATCTACAGAAACCCAAAGACAATGGGGAGATAAACACAAGGACACCAGAGAAAATTTTACCCACTGATATCTATGGCTACAGCAAATAGTAAACACAGCCTAACTTCTGGCCATATAAACACAACACTTCCCACTAAAGGCCTATTTGCCATAGTTCCCTTTACCCATACGTGATGTCCAGCATTCAACAAAAATTACAAGACATGGTAAAAGGCAAAACACACAGTCTGAAGAGACAAAGCAAGTATGAAAACCAGAATCAGATATGACAGAGATTTTGGAATTATCAGATTGGGAATTTAAAATAACCGTGATTAACATGCAAAGGGATCTAACGGAAGAAAAGTGTACAATATGTAAGATGGTTAGTGTAAGCAGAGAGATGGAAACTTTAAGAATCAAAAGGAAATGCTAGAAATCCAAAACACCATAACAAAAATGAAGAATGCCTTTGACGGGTGCATAGAGTGAAATGTTTGTCAAAATTCATGTGTTGAAATCTAATCTCTAATGTGATGGTATTTGGGGATGGGGCTTTGGGGAAACGATTAGGTCATGAGAGCAGAGCCCTCATGGAAGGGATCAGTGCTTTACAAAATGAGCCCCAGAGAGCTCCTTTGTCCTTTGCACTATGTACAGATGCAATGAGAAAACAGCCACCTATGACTTAGGAAGTGGGCTCTCATTAGATACCAGGTCTATTGGCAGCACCTTGATATTGGACTTCCCAGCCTCCAGAACTGTGAGAAATAAATTTCTCTTGTTTATAAGCCACTCACTCTATGTATTCCGTTATAGCAGCCCAGATGGACTAAGACAATGGCCTCATCAATAGACTAGAGATGCCTGAGGGAAAAAAAAAAATCTGTGAACTTGAAGTTATGTCAATAGAGCTTGAAGATATGTCAATAGCAACTTCTCAAACTAAAAAGCAAATAGAAAAAAATGATAAAACTAAAAGAGAATGTCCAAAAACTGTGGGATAATAAAGAAAGATGTAACTTATACATAATGGTAAGACCAGAAGGAGAAGAGAGAGAAACAGGGACAGAATAAATATTTGAAGTAATGGTGTCTGAGAATTTTCCAACATTAATAACAGACACCAAATCGTAGATCTAGGAAACTCAGCGAACAACAAAATAGGATAAATACCAAATAATCTACATGTAGAAATACCATATTTAAACTTTAGAAAATGAAAGAAAAGATAAAAACTTAAAAGAAGGCAAAGGATGAAAAACCAACTTTACCTATAGAGGAAAACAAATAAGGATAATCTTGGATGCTGGTCAAAGGGCACAAAGTTTCAATTAGGTGGAAGGAGTAAGTTCTGGAGTTCTATTGTACAGCATGACAACTATAGTTAATAATAATGTATTATGTCTTTGAAATCTGCTAGCAATAGATTTTACATGTTCTCATCACACACACAAAACCATAACTATATGAGGTGATGAACATGTAAATTAGCTCGATTGTGGTAATCATTTCACAATATATACATTTATCAAACCATGCTTTATAGCATAGGTACAATTTTTTATTTCTTAATCATACTCCAATAAACCTAGAAAAAATTCAATTAAAATACTATAATTTTTCAACTTTCAGATTGTAAAAATTAAAGACACTATTTATAATAGCCCTTGATAGTAGGGATGTGAGTAAACAGACACTATCATAATTCAGTGAATTTATAAGCTGGTGCAAAAGTTTCAAAAATTAAGAAAGGTGTGTATGCATATCTCAAAATGTGTATTTGCACATCCTTTAATCTGATAAAGTTATTCATAAGAATTAATCGCAGCGAACTAATTCTAGAGATTTGGAAAGACAGCACTGTAAGAATATTCATCACTGTTTGTCTGTTGTTGGTGTATAAGAATGCTTGTGATTTTTGTACATTGATTTTGTATCCTGAGACTTTGCTGAAGTTGCTTATCAGCTTAAGGAGATTTTGGGCTGAGACAATGGGGTTTTCTAGATATACAATCATGTCGTCTGCAAACAGGGACAATTTGACTTCCTCTTTTCCTAATTGAATACCCTTTATTTCCTTCTCCTGCCTAATTGCCCTGGCCAGAACTTCCAACACTATGTTGAATAGGAGTGGTGAGAGAGGGCATCCCTGTCTTGTGCCAGTTTTCAAAGGGAATGCTTCCAGTTTTTGCCCATTCAGTATGATATTGGCTGTCGGTCTGTCATAGATAGCTCTTATTATTTTGAAATACGTCCCATCAACACCTAATTTATTGAGAGTTTTTAGCATGAAGGGTTGTTGAATTTTGTCAAAGGCTTTTTCTGCATCTATTGAGATAATCATGTGGTTTTTGTCTTTGGCTCTGTTTATATGCTGGATTACGTTTATTGATTTGCGTATATTGAACCAGCCTTGCATCCCAGGGATGAAGCCCACTTGATCATGGTGGATAAGCTTTTTGATGTGCTGCTGGATTCGGTTTGCCAGTATTTTATTGAGGATTTTTGCATCAATGTTCATCAAGGATATTGGTCTAAAATTCTCTTTTTTGGTTGTGTCTCTGCCTGGCTTTGGTATCAGAATGATGCTGGCCTCATAAAATGAGTTGGGGAGGATTCCCTCTTTTTCTATTGATTGGAATAGTTTCAGAAGGAATGGTACCAGTTCCTCCTTGTACCTCTGGTAGAATTCAGCTGTGAATCCATCTGGTCCTGGACTCTTTTTGGTTGGTAAACTGTCGATTATTGCCTCAATTTCAGCTCCTGTTATTGGTCTATTCAGAGATTCAACTTCTTCCTGGTTTAGTCTTGGGAGAGTGTATGTGTTGAGGAATTTATCCATTTCTTCTACAGACAAACAGAGAGCCAAATTGTGAGTGAACTCCCATTCACAATTGCTTCAAAGAGAATAAAATACCTAGGAATCCAACTTACAAGGGATGTGAAGGACCTCTTCAAGGAGAACTACAAACCACTGCTCAAGGAAATAAAAGAGGATACAAACACATGGAAGAACATTCCATGCTCATGGGTAGGAAGAATCAATATCGTGAAAATGGCCATACTGCCCAAGGTAATTTACAGATTCAATGCCATCCCCATCAAGCTACCAATGCCTTTCTTCACAGAATTGGAAAAAACTACTTTAAAGTTCATATGGAACCAAAAAAGAGCCCGCATCGCCAAGTCAATCCTAAGCCAAAAGAACAAAGCTGGAGGCATCACACTACCTGACTTCAAACTATACTACAAGGCTACAGTAACCAAAACAGCATGGTACTGGTACCAAAACAGAGATATAGATCAATGGAACAGAACAGAGCCCTCAAAAATAATGCCGCATATCTACAACTATCTGATCTTTGACAAACCTGAGAAAAACAAGCAATGGGGAAAGGATTCCCTATTTAATAAATGGTGCTGGGAAAACTGGCTAGCCATATGTAGAAAGCTGAAACTGGATCCCTTCCTTACACCTTATACAAAAATCAATTCAAGATGGATTAAAGATTTAAACGTTAGACCTAAAACCATAAAAACCCTAGAAGAAAACCTAGGCATTACCATTCAGGACATAGGCATGGGCAAGGACTTCATGTCCAAAACACCAAAAGCAATGGCAACAAAAGACAAAATCGACAAATGGGATCTAATTAAACTAAAGAGCTTCTGCACAGCAAAAGAAACTACCATCAGAGTGAACAGGCAACCTACAAAATGGGAGAAAATTTTCGCAACCTACTCATCTGACAAAGGGCTAATATCCAGAATCTACAATGAACTCAAACTAATTTACAAGAAAAAAACAAACAACACCATCAAAAAGTGGGCGAAGGACATGAACAGACACTTCTCAAAAGAAGACATTTATGCAGCCAAAAAACACATGAAAAAATGCTCATCATCACTGGCCATCAGAGAAATGCAAATCAAAACCACAATGAGATATCATCTCACACCAGTTAGAATGGCAATCATTAAAAAGTCAGGAAACAACAGGTGCTGGAGAGGTTGTGGAGAAATAGGAACACTTTTACACTGTTGGTGGGACTGTAAACTAGTTCTACCATTGTGGAAGTCAGTGTGGCGATTCCTCAGGGATCTAGAACTAGAAATACCATTTGACCCAGCCATCCCATTACTGGGTATATACCCAAATGACTATAAATCATGCTGCTATAAAGACACATGCACACGTATGTTTATTGCGGCATTATTCACGATAGCAAAGACTTGGAACCAACCCAAATGTCCAACAATGATAGACTGGATTAAGAAAATGTGGTACATATACACCATGGAATACTATGCAGCCATAAAAAATGATGAGTTCGTGTCCTTTGTAGGGACATGGATGAAATTGGAAATCATCATTCTCAGTAAACTATCACAAGAACAAAAAACCAAACACCGCATATTCACACTCATAGGTGGGAATTGAACAATGAGATCACATGGACACAGGAAGGGGAATATCACACTCTGGGGACTGTGGTGGGGTGGGGGCAGGGGGGAGGGATAGCATTGGGAGATATACCTAATACTAGATGACGAGTTAGTGGGTGCAGCGCACCAGCATGGCACATGTATACATATGTAACTAACCTGCACAATGTGCACATGTACCCTAAAACTTAAAATATAATTTAAAAAAAAAAAGAAAAAAAAAGAAAAAAAAAAGAATATTCATCACAACATTGTTGTTGCAAAACAATTGAAAATAACCCAAATTATAGAAATAGAGGTTTAATGAAAGAAATTGTGACTTACATGTTTAATGATATACTGTGCCACCATTAAAACAGATAAAGCAGGATGTTAGTCTTCATTATGTAAAAGATTGTATGGCACAATATGCAGGAAAAACAGGAAGCAGATCACAGAACAGTATGGTTCTACTGATGTGAAACGGGCATATCATATATACAGGAAATCGCTAGAGGAAAAAACACAACAATTGTCAGAGGCGTAAACTCTGAACAGTGTGATTTTTGGTGCAGTGAAGGAACATTTGGATTTTTATTTCCTACTTGACAAAATAATATCGTCTGAATGTTTCCACTATTAGGTATAACATTCTGAATAATTTTTAAAATAAATATATTTACACTGGGAAGGAAGGAAGACAGGCATGCATGCATCCCTCCTTTCCAGGAACTACATTTATGGGTATGTATTTTCTAAGCAAGGAGCTTTGAGAGAGCTAAGTAAGACTTTGGAGGAGAAGGTTATATTGGATATTCTACATTGAAAATTCTAAGGACCTGATTGTAATACAAACATTTACTCTTTCAAAAACTTTATCATATGTGTGAGGAAGGTAACATTAAATGAGAGAAAAAGGCATGGCAGGGAATGGAGATGAAACCTTCCTTTTATGACCTTAAGATATATCATATATGTATGAACGTAGTTTTAATTTAGTGGGCTCTTTTCCTCTCTAGACCTTTCCTGTTCCCTAAACATCCAGCAGGATTCTTTTTTTTTTTTTTTTTGAGACGGAGTCTTGCTCTGTCGCCCAGGCTGGAGTGCAGTGGCGCTATCTCGGCTCACTGCAAGCTCCGCCCCCCAGGTTCACGCCATTCTCCTGCCTCAGCCTCCCGAGTAGCTGGGACTACAGGCGCCCACCACTACACCGGCTAATTTTGTTTTTGTATTTATAGTAGAGAAGGGGTTTCACTATGTTAGTCAGGATGGTCTCGATCTCCTGACCTCGTGATCCATCCGCCTCGGCCTCCCAAAGTGCTGGGATTACAGGCGTCAGCCACCCTGCGCCCAGTCAACATCCAGCAGGATTCTTTTGTGGTAGCGGAGAGAAGAAAATGAAGGTGAAAGGCAAACAAATGAATGAAATAATCCATTGCACTAGGCCTATGGTTTTGGTTTTTTTAAAAAACTTTTTAACAAGTTTTTAACAAAACAACAACAAAACAAAACAAAGAAACAAACAAAAAATTTTCCCCTATTCTGATCTGCAGGGAATCTCATGTCCTCACCAGAAATATTGCAGAAATACTTTTGGTCACTTAGGCTGTGATTGACCGACTGGACATTCTTTGTAGAATGCTGCTTGCCAGGCACACAGAACTACAAGGCTTTAACTCTATCCAGAAAGTAGGCACAGCCAAAAACAGGGTAAAACTTGCACAGGGCTTGCTTGGCAGAACCTGACTTCATATTAACATCTTTGTTCATCTCTATAGAAACTATCATCATGTGGTATATATGATGCTTATTTACTTTGTCTACTTTTATAGCATGTGAGTTGCATGAGTGCAGAGACTTTTGTCCATTTTGTCCACCAATGCCTTGGAAGACTGTCCAGATCATAGAGGTACTCTAATAAGTATTTGTTGAATGAATAAATTATGTAGGGTTTCCTAGTAGGACAAATATGTAACACCGATCTTCAAGCATCAGGAGATAGGAAAAATAGTTGTGGCTGAATTTTTCCTGGTTACTGTCTTCATGGGAAATTTTCCTCAGTCCAGAAAAGGCAGGAAAGGAGGGACCCCATTACCTCTCAGGTCAGTGATCTCCTCCCCAAAAATATTTGCCACAGAGCACCCTGAACATCAGGGTTTCTGAGGCTGTAGATAAGAGGGTTCAGCATAGGGTTGATAACAGTGTTGAAAACTCCAACCCCTTTATCCTTGTCTGAAGCCTCCTCTGAACCCAGTCTCATGTAGTTGAAGATACCTCTTCCAAAGAAAAGACAAACCACGGTGAGGTGGGAGCCACACGTGGAGAAGGCCTTCTTTCGGCCCTCCACTGAACGGATTCGTAGAACTGCAGCTGCCACGTGGCTGTAGGCAGTGATGATGAGAACCAAAGGTGTGCCTGCCATGATGAAACCCACAGCAAAGAGCAGCAGCTCATTGAGTTGGGTGCTGGAGCAGGAGAGCTGGAAGAGCTGTGGGAGGTCACAGTAGAAGTGATTGACCTCATTGGGGCCACAGAAGTTGAGCGTGGACATGGCCACAGTGTGGGTCAGTGCGTTGGTGAAGGCACAAGCCAAGGACGCAGCCACCAACATCCTCTGGACTGTCTGACTCATGCGGGTGCTGTAGGTGAGGGGCTGGCAGATGGCCAGGAGTCGGTCATAGGCCATGGCGGTCAGCAGGAAGCAGTCCATCCCAGCCAGAAGGTGGAAGAAGAAGAGCTGGGAGAGGCAGGCGTCATAGGAAATTGTGGACTTGTGGGACAAGAGACGACCCAACATTGCAGGAACAGTGACAGTGATACATCCGACATCCAGCACTGACAGGTTCCCCAGGAAGAAGTACATGGGGGCGTGGAGTTTGGGCTCCACCAAGACGGCTGCCAGGATGCTGAGGTTGCCCCCAGTTGTGACCAGATAGGCAAAGAGGAGGAGCACAAAGACAACTGGCTGCATCTCTTCTGTTTGCACTAGGCCCAGTAGAATGAACTCAGCAACAGCGGTCCTATTGGTCCCAGCTTCTGGCTCCATGAGTTTCTGTAAGGACATGTCCCAGCAGGGGAGGTATCAGTTCACTCAGTTCACTTATTCAACATTAATATTTTAAACCATTTATGTTCAAAGCCCCGTGGCGAGTCCCCAGGCCATCCCTCACTCGTTGACCTCCTCCATCACCTCAATGCCTTTACCTTGCTCTTGGTTGACATGCCCAATGACACCACCACCTTGTCCTCCTCATCCTCTGCTAGCTGAAAAGGTCAGAATACCTGGAACAACATGAGAACTATAGTTAATAAAGTGTATTGCATTCAGGATTTTTGCTGAGTAGATTACAGCTGTCCTCGCCACAGGGGGGAAATGGGTAACTATGTGAGATGATGAATATGTTAATTTGTTTCACTATAGTAACCATTTTACTAACTACAAGTATCTCATAACATCATGTTCTGTACCTTAAATATAGACAAAAACTTTGTTTTAAAAAACATACAAGGCTTCCTCTATGAATATAGTTAGATTTAGATGAAGTTTTCCTATTGCTCTCTGAGGGATCATCCCAAACTAATAAGCAGGTTTCAAAATAGAAATCCAGAGAAAGTAGAATGCATTTAAAAACATAACCCAGGCTGGGCGTGGTGGCTCACGCCTGTAATCCCAGCAGTTTGGGAGGCCAAGGCGGGTGCATCATCTGAGATCAGGAGTTTGAGACCAGCCTGTCCAACATGGTGAAACCACATCTCTACTACAAAAATTAGCTTCGTGTGGTGGGGGGCACTTGTAATCCTAGCTACTCAGTAGGCTGAGGCAGGAGAATCGCTTGAACCCGAGACGTGGAGGTTGCAGTGAGCCAAGACTGCACCATTGTACTCCAGCCTGGGTGACAGAGCGAGGCTCCATCTCAAACAAAACAAAACAAAACAAAACAAAAACACCTAGGTTTAAAGGCTTCTAGACATAATAAAGGTCAAGCAAAGCTGTAGCAAGAATCAGAGAGAAGGTATTCATGATTGTGGATATCAGAAAGACCAGCCAAGTACATTTCTTCAAGGTGAGGGACCACACTCTGAAGTATCAACTCAACATTTCTTGTTCAATAAATTGTTAATGTTATTGTTACTTAAGCCCCTACAATGGACTTTGACTAATGACTTACTGTAAAATGATGTTTTTCTGTGTGTATTATCTGCTATTCCTCTCTAAAACCAAAGTTGTGGTCATAGCCTGTGGGTTGGTTGCCGCCAGGTGCAGTTACATTCTGCATTGCACAGTCACTGTCCTTCCCTTGTCCTTGACTTAGGCACGGTAGGTTGACCAATGGCTCTAATGATACATCCTGAAATGACGAAGGCATGTACTTGGAAAACCACGCTGAAGTCATTTTTCAGATTTTTTTTTTTTTTTTGAGACAGAGTCTTGCTCTGTCACCCAGGCTGGAGTGCAGTGGCGCGATCTCGGCTCACTGCAAGCTCCGCCTCCTGGGTTCACGCCATTCTCCTGCCTCAGCCTCCTGAATAGCTGGGACTACAGGCGCCCACCACCACGCCCGGCTAATTTTTTTGTATTTTTAGTAGAGACGGGGTTTCACCGTGTTAGCCAGGATGGTCTCGATCTCCTGACCTGGTGATCCGCCCGCCTCGGCCTCCCAAAGTGCTGGGATTACAGGCGTGAGGCACTGCGCCCAGCCCATCTTTCAGATTTTATATCCTACTCCAGATCAAAAAACATCAATGTCTCTATTGCCCATGGAATAAGCCAGGCCAGAGGTTCTTTAAAAGCAATGTTACTCCCTTGCATAGAATAGACTGGAATCAGAGGATGGGAAGCAGCTGGAGGGGAACAGTGATGATTGCCTGAGCTGGGGCAGTGAAATGCAGAGGCAGGAATGATTAAGGAGGTTCCAGAAATCAGAAATGCTGTAGCAGCAGTATGACTGATATGACTGCCTAGGGGTGTGGTCACCAAAATGATGTTTAAATCCTTTGTTCATAAAAGTGGGAATTGAGTGCACGGGTTGGTGGCACGGTCTTAACTGGTCTCACTAAGATCTGGAAAGCAGAAGAGGCAGGAGTGAATGAGAAGCCATCCGGGCAGGCTGACTGTGCAGTGTTTAGGTGGGACTTTAAAAGCAAGAAGCCGGCATTATCAGCAGTTCCTCAGCCTCTGGTGAGCACTGACTAGGGAAGTCAAGGGAAAATGTACTCACAATCCTGGAACAAGTGACTTACAGCCAGTATCAACCTTGGCTGCACATTAGATTTATGTGGGAGCCCCCAAAACTCCTGTTGTCCAGAATTTACCCACAGGCCGATTAAATCAGAATCTCCCAAGATAATACCCAGGCATCAGGATTTTTTTTTTTTTTTTTGAGATGGAGTCTCCCTCTGTCACCAGGCTGGAGTGCAGTGGCACGATCTCGGCTCACTGCAACCTCCGCCTCCCAGGTTCAAGAGATTCTCCTGCCTCAGCCTCCTCAGTAGCTGGGACTACAGGCATGCACCACCACGCCCAGCTAATTTTTTTGTATTTTTAGTAGAGATGGGGTTTCACCATGTTGGCCAGGATGGTGTCGATCTCTTGACCTTGTGATCCACCCGCCTCAGCCTCCCAAAGTGCTGGGATTACAGACGTGAGGCACCGCGCCCGGCAGCATCAGCATTTTTCAAAGCACCCACCTGATCACTGCTGTCTTAGCATTTAACTGAGCAGATACTTCCAACGACTAGCTCTTTCTTGCCACCCCCTCAAATTAAGAGTTTTGTTTGTTTGTTTTGTTTTCTCATTTTACTTTTACTGATAACCCTGAAGGGAGAGCAGGAAATACTTTATAAAATGACACACAGAAAAGTTACAAAAATTTAAGATACCTTGCAAAGGTTTGGTGGTATTTCCAGCCTCGATTTCCAACTCTGTTAAATTAGATTCTTAGTCCCCATGCTTATTGGAATCACCTGGGATGCTTTAAGAAGAAAATACTGATGCTCAGGCCTTTCACCAAGAATTTTGATTTAATTGGTTTAATTGGTGGTACCTGGGTATGGGTGTTTCCTTAGCGCCTCCCAGGTGGTTCTAATGCCCAGCCAGGACAGAGAACTCTGCCAGATTTGCAGCCTGGGAGGCATGATGATGGCTTGTTTCCCTCTTCATTGTTTTTCTCCATACCGGACATGAAGGTCACCAGCCCTTTTAGGTGATCCAGCCACTTCCACAAAGACTCCTCCACCTACGCTTAGAATCAAGGTAATCTCAGCCAGGTGCAGTGGCTCACACCTGTAATCCCAGCACTTTGGGAGGCTGAGGTGGGTGGATCACGAGGTCAGGAGATTGACACCATCCTGGCTAACACGGTGAAACCCCATTCAATACAAAAAATTAGCCAGGTGTGGTGGTGGGCACCTGTAGTTCCAGCTACTCCGGAGGCTGAGGCAGGAGAATCACTTGAACCCGGGAGGCGGAGGTTGCAGTGAGCTGAGATCGCGCCACTGCACTCCGGCCTGGGCGACTCCGTCTGAGATTCTGTCTCAAAAAAAAGAGTCAAGATAGTCTCTAAAGACTGACCCGCAGTTTCATGTGGATAACGTGCATCTCACTGGAGTCTCTACAGCAAGGGGATGTCTCCAATGTGAGGCTGTCTCGATGACCAGCCTTCCAAATGAGGTCTCCACTGTGTGTGCTCAGGCCACGGGGAAGCTGCAGAGGGGATGCCACATGGGTGAGAATGTGGATGCGGTGATCTCCAAGAGGTCCTTAAAGTTCTAAGATCACATGACTTGGAGGAGGGCAGAAATCATCCTCTGGCCTGATTATCACTGACAGAGGTGGTAACTGATAATGCTTTGCAAATCAACAAATCAAAGGGTGATAGCTCTTTACATATGTTATATTAAAGGATAGTTGACTACTTCCCTTTTTCCTGTCAGGTCCATTTTAACAGAAGCATTGGACAGCAACCCTGTGATCTTCCAGCTCCTTGCTCATGCTGTTTTCCCCACCTGCAATGGTTTCCCTCCAACGGCACATGCCCAGATATTTCACAACTTGACTCAAATGCTGACTGATGAATTAATCCTTCCTTGAAACTTCTCCATCTAAAAAGAATCTCTCTCTCCTTCTTCCTCTCTTCTGCTCTCCTCTTCTGTCTCTTTCTCTCTCTCTCTCTCTCCTCACCCCCTAAACTATCAATATACACCATTTCTTGGAATTTATGACTGTTTACATTTTGGGTGAGTCACTTCTTTATAGAGTCTGTCTCTGTAAGTGACTTGAGGACAGAATATGTTTGATTCATTTTCAATAGCAATAATCATCATAACACTTTACACATAGGTACCCAATATTTCATATTTTTCTCTTTTTTTGAGACAGAGTTTTGCTCTTTTTGCCCAGGCTGGAGTACAATGGCATGACCTCGGCTCACTGCAACCTCTGCCTCCTGGGTTCAAGCGATTCTCCTGCCTCAGCCTTCTGAGTAGCTGGGATTACAGGCATGCGCCACCACGCCCAGCTAACTTTGTATTTTTAGTAGAGACAGGGTTTCTCCATGTTGATCAGGCTGGTCTCGAACTCCTGACCTCAGGTGATCCGCCCACCTCAGCCTCCCAAAGTGCTGGGATTACAGGCGTAAGTCACTGCGCCCGGCCGGTATCCAATATTTCTTAAATAAATGGATGGTTAAAATGTGTACGATATCATCAGTATGAGCTAGAGTTCTCAGGGAAGACTTTCTGGACACACTGGAATTTGTCATGGCTTAGTGTGCTTTAGGGGAGGTCCAGGTTAAGTGCAGGGTTCAAGGCTGTGGCAGGGACTCCTCTGTGTTAACAGGACAAGCAGGTCATGGACCAGTCCACATCTTCTTTTTACTTAAACCTCCCAAAACAATACGGCCCTTAGGAGGGGCCACACCTTACAGACAAGTAAGTCATGGTCAGGGGTAGAAGAACCACTAAACAGCTGTTGCCAACCCTCAGACAGCTAGAGATACAATTGCTTAAAACCAGGGGGATTCTGGGATGACCTCAGGTCACCGAGACATCCAGAGGGTCTGACAGGGTCCCCACGAGGCCCACTGGGGAGCCCTCCTGCACGACCACTCTCGAGGCTCCCCTTACGAGCTGTGACAGCTCCCTGCTCTGGAACTCCAGCCCATCCCTCACGCGCCCAACATGACGAGGCTCAAGGACTTCGCTGGAGCGAGGGTTCCCCGCTGCCTGATGCAGTGGGTGCGGGCAGTGAACTGGTCTGAGCGAGTCTCCTCACACTCATGCTAACAGGCAGCAGGCTTCATCTGAGAGAGGCGAGCACGGGGAAAACCACAAAAGAACCCAGGACCTCCGGGCTGTAGTGCCAGGTCTTCCCCTAAATGGCTTTCCCTGTCAGGGGCATCCATCGCACCAGGCTTACTAAGCTGATGGCAACAGAAGCCCCTTCTCTATCTTGCAGGAGCAGAGGAAGGACTCAGGAGAACACTCACCCTGGCAAGGGCACGGAAGCCACTGAGGTTTCTTCAGGAAAGAAGGGGAGGAGCTGCGCACACCCCGTTATCCTCCCGGAGAGCGAGTGAGGGGCTAATGACTGAGAAATGAGAGGAATCAAGCTGCTGTCTTCTCTGTACAGGGCTGTGTTCACTACAGCATTCTCCTCTGGGGCACTCAGAAACTGGCTCTCCTAGGAGAGAGAAGGATGGGGGGAGAGACACGGAAAAGGAGACACCTCAGGCCCTTCATACTCATGGCAACGATGCCTCACCCCTTCTGGTATTTAGACTTTCTCACAAGGAAGGCTTTGCCTCTAGCCCTGGCTTTGTGGGCAGGTTGTTACGGCAGATGATGTCCGCTCTGCTTAATGTGGGTCACTGAGGCCTACAGGACTTGCCTATGTCCTCAAAGTCCCCCAGGAAGGGAGAGGTGCAGCTGGAGACTCTATATGGGCTTTCTAAGGGGATATTTTCTTTCCCAGATATCAACCAGGGCATTTGAGCAGAAACAAGCCAATTCCTGAACTTGTCTTGGACCTGGGGAGGTAGGAGGAGGCCCCAGAAGGGAGATAAGAGGGAAAAGCTTTCTTCAAAGCCGGTTTCCTGTTGAGCCCTCAGTAGTGAGGCGCTTTCTCTCCTGGGGACTTGTTAGTGGGGGACACTTGGACTGTGTCTTGGGGATCCTATAATGATTCTAGAGGTGGTGGGAGATGAGCCCTATGATGCTAGCAGGACTACTGGGAAGGTGCCTATCAACATGATTTTCTAAGTCCGGCCCTGAGGAATTGAGAGGCCTGGTGAAGGTGGCAGGTTAATGAACAGAAGCTGTGGGAAGATGTAGGCGTGTGTTCCTCTGACTCCTCTTCCCACTAACATTCCCTCGCCTAAGAGAGAGGGCTCCTTCTTCTCCCACCAGGGAGTTGTGGTGCAGTAGAAAAAGCAGAATAGACAAACCTGTTCTTCTGATTATTAGTGGTTTGACTTTGTACAAGCTGCAAAGTCAGTTTTGGGGCCTCAGTTTCCTCATCTGTAAAATGAGATATCCTTCCTCACAGAGCACTGCTGTGAACATTACATTCATTAAGTTGCTAATAGAGGTTCAACAATTTATCTACATATGAATTGATAACAATTATGAGTATCTGTGGCTGTGTGTGGTGACTCAAACTTGTAATCTTAGCACTCTGGGAGGCTGAGGCGGGGATCGCTTGAGCCCAGAAGTTCAAAACCAGCCTGGGTAACATGGTAAAACCCCATCTCTACAAAAAATAACAAAAATTTGTCAGGCACAGTGGTGCGGGCCTGTAGTCCCAGCTACTCTGGAGGCTGAAATGAAAGGATCGCTTGAGCCCAGGAGGTGGAGGCTGCAGTGAGCCGTGATCGCACCACTGCACTGCAGCCTGGGCTATAGAGTGAGAATCCCTCCCAAACAACAACAACAACAAAACAAACACAGACAAACAGGAACCATTTATGAGTGTTTGTCATGTACATGGTAACATGCTAAGAACACAACAAGCCTGGAGTCTCAGTCTTCACAATTCTATGAAGTAGATTTTCTCTTTTTAAATATACTCTAAGTTCTGGGGTACATGTGCAGAATGTGCAGGTTCGTTACATAGGTATACGTGTGCCATGGTGGTTTGCTGCACCCATCAACCTGTCTTCTACATTAGGTATTTCTCTTAATGCTATCCCTCCCCTTGCCCCCCACCCCCCAAGAGGCCCTGGTGTGTGGTCTTCCCGTCCCTGCGTCCATGTGTTCTCATTATTCAACTCCCACTTATGAGTGAGAACATGTGGTGTTTGGTTTTCTGTTCTTGTGTTAGTTTGCTGAGAATGATGGTTTCCAGCTTCATCCATGTCCCTGCAAAGGTCATGAACTCATCCTTTTTTATGGCTGCATAGTATTCCATGGTATATATGTGCCACATTTTCTTTATCCAGTCTGTCCCTGATGGGCATTTGGCTTGGTTCCAAGTCTTTGATATTGTGAACAGTGCTACAATAAACATACATGTGCATGTGTCTTTATAGTAGAATGATTTATATTCCTTTGGGTATATACTCAGTAAGGGGATTGGTGGGTCAAATGGTATTTCTAGTTCTAGATCCTTGAGGAATCGCCACACTGTCTTCCACAATAGTTGAATTAGTTTACACTCCCACCAACAGTGTAAAAGCATTCCTATTTCTCCACATCCTCTCCAGCATCTATTGTTTCCTGTTGTTTCCTGACTTTTTAATGATAGCCATTCTAACTGGTGTGAGATGGTATCTCATTGTGGTTTTGATTTGCATTTCTCTAATGACCAGTGATGACGAGATTTTTTTCATGTTTGTTGGCTGCATAAATGTCTTCTTTTGAGAAGTGTCTGTTCATATCCTTCGCTCACTTTTTGATGGGGTTGTTTTTTCTTGTAAATTTGTTTAAGTTCTTTGTAGATTCTGGATATTAGCTCTTTGTCAGATGGATAGATTGCAAAAATTTTCTCCCATTCCGTAGGTTGCCTGTTCACTCTGATGGTAGTTTCTTTTGCTGTGCAGAAGCTCTTTCATTAGATCCCATTTGTCAGTTTCGGCTTTTGTTGCCATTGCTTTTGGTGTTTTAGACATGAAGTCCATGCCCATGCCTATGTCCTGAATGGTATTGCCTAGATTTTCTTCTAGGGTTTTTATGGTTTTAGGTCTTACATTTAAGTCTTTAATCCATCTTGTGGTAGGTAGAAGAATGGGCCCCAGAGATATCCAACCTAAACCCTGGAATCTACTTTATATGGTAAAGGAGACTTTAAAGTTTGAGATCTTGGGATGGGGACATCACTCAAATAATGTACACTGTACTAATTAAGTAATTTCTCATCATCCACCCCCCTCCTACCCACCCACATTTCTGATACATCCACAGAGTGCAGAGTGGTCAGGTCAGGGTGTTTAGGGTTCCCATCACTCAAATAATGCACATTGTACCCATTAAGTAATTTATTCTCATCATCCACCCCCCTCCCACCCACTCCCATTTCTGATTTTCCATTGTCTATCCTTCCACTCTGCATCCATGTGTACGCGGTATTGTGTCTATATCTCTGCTGAGATTTTCATTCCTTGAAAACATGTTTAATTTTTTACCTAATTTGGGGTAATTATAACAGCCATTTAAAATTTTCGTCTGTTAGTGTCAACATCTAGTTCATTTCAGAGTTGGACTTGCTGGATTTTCTTTTCTCTGGAGAATGTGTTGCATTTTCTTGATTCTTCATATATTAATTCTGGACTGTATCCTGGACATTACGAATATTCAGTTCTGCTGGAGATTCTCAATTACATTATTTATCACGTGTCATTTCCCATGTTTGATAGGTAATTCTCTTGGCGAGGCTTGAACTGCAAACTTGCTTCGTGGGTGGCAGCATTGGTCTCAGTTAAAATATTTTTACTTTTGCTGAATTTATGTTTTTCTATTATATATATATAATATCAATATACTGTATATGTAATCGAGCTTATATTAAATTTTATAATAAAATTATTGTGTTGAGACAATTGTTATCTACTAGGAAAAAATTAGAGCATACATAACAATAAGCTCTAAATATATTAAATATTTGACTTAAAAAGAAATGTAAAAATACTAGAAAAACATCAGACACATATTTATACAGCATTTAGATGAAAAAGCTCTTTTTCCTAAGCATGACATAAAACAAAGAAGATAAAGGTCATAAAATATAAAATTAATTTGGGCAGCAGTTACTCTAAACAAAATTAAAGACAAATGGGAAATTAGGAAATATGTTAGCAACATATATGGCAAAGAATTACCATTTTAAAACAGAAAAGGTTTCTACCAATCATTTACAAAAAGATAAACTATCACCAAAAGGGCAAAAAAAAAAAAAAAAAAAGACAAAAAAAGAAAAAGAAATCTGCAAAGAAGAAATACAAATAACAAATAAATACAGTTATGAGCTGTATAATGATGTTTTGGTCAACAAAGCCTGCATACATGGCAGTGGTCACAGCAATAGGCTATTAACAGGCTATTTCATATAGCCTAGGTGTTCAGTAGGCCATACCACCTAGGTTTGTGCAAGTACATTCTTACACAGGGGTAAGCGATGTTTGCACAACACAATCACCTAACAATGCATTTCTCAGAATGTATCCCCGTTGTAGAGTGACACATGACTGTACATAAAAATGTGTTCAACCACACCCATAATCAAAGAAATTCAAATTAAAAATAATACAGTATTTCATCTAGTTTTCAAATATAAAAAGATATATATATAACATCCAATGAGGTCAAAGATGTGAAGCAACAAGCATTTGCATACACTGCCAATCTGGATGTAAAATGCTGTACATTTTTTGGCAAATACAAAGGCAGAATACTTATTAAACTTTAACTTTGCATTTGTATTTCTGATAGTGAACACGTACTTATACACAAACACACAAACTACGTTCATGAACTTAGCCACTGGAAATAATTTCAGATACTCAGCTATATATATAAATACTAATCTCAGTATTATTGGCAGTCGCAAAAATAGGAACTAAATTACATCAATGGGGTGTGGTTAAATAGATTATAATTTTACATAAATGGAATATTATGCAGCCTTTAAAATGGGTAAGATAGATTTGTAGGCTCACATGTAAGAATTATACTATGCAATATAGACAGAGAAAAGTCAGATTACAACACAGTATGGTTTTGAATGTGGGTGTGTTTGTGTGTGTGAGTGTGTGTTTGTGTGTGTTCATTTGGAAAGCTAAACATGAAACTATTAACAGTAGTTACTTTTAAAGATAAGATTACTGTGCGGATGGTGCGGAAGGGTGGTGATGTTCTGTACTGTTTGTACATTTACAACATGATGTATTACATGGATAATAGAATTTTTAAGTAGCAAGGAGATTTCCAGTTTGAAATATAAAAGGGGAGAAAAATTCCAAATGAAATGGAATCTCCCAAATTGATAAAGAAACCGTGTGATCCTGGAGGGTGAACAGGGACCTGGGAATCAGGCCTTTGGCCATTGTCTATGATGCTGGACCCAGTGGCTCCATTCCACCCTAGTGGCAAGGCCAAGACCGAAATCTCTCCTTGAGGCTTGAAGTAAAGAGCCAGCTGAAGAAATGCCAGAGGCACCAGATCTTTGGAGATAAACAGCAGGCTCAGTTTTGCTGCAGGGGTTAAATGTAGCCAAAGAAGTGATGGTGGAAGGTGTGGTAGCTCCCTCAGGGTAAACAGATACAGTCTTTCTATTCATTCAAACTAACAGACTCAGAGAAATCTCGCAGTGGAAGAACCTTAATATAACCTAGTGCTTTTGGTCAAGAACAGACCCAGAGGAACTCATCAACTTATTCAAGGTCAAGCGTGTCGTGAATGAGAGAAGGGATGAGATGAGAACCACATCCCAGGTCTTCCCCAACGGTCTTCTTGACCCTGGAAGAAGACTCACTCTTTGTGTCCCTGAAGTTTGTCTGATGATGCAATAAATCAGAAAAAGGCATCTTTTTCCTGTGTCTATTGACGCCGTCAGCCAGCATGACTCAAAAGGTAGGGAGTGTTAAGTTGGGCAGTTCGTCACAAATTTTGATGACATTTTAGATACGTAGCTGGAGAAAATACCCAGCACTCTTTTCTTCTGTGTTTTCTCATCTAGTAAACCTTCTTCCTGACATCCTAGGAGCACCTCTGTTTAGAGAAAGAGAAAACGAGTCCTTGGTGTACTTTTTTTGTACACTTAGCATAACTTAAAATATCAATCACTTCCTTCTTAGTAGAGAAGACGGACTACAATGATGGCATCAGGAGTGCTGGAATTGGTTATTGCTGGAAAACATAGAATGGGAAGCCCACATCTCTCATGTGTGACCCACTTATTTTATGCCCCCGCTTTCTTCCTCTGATCTTTCAATACTCTCAAGGCATCTTATCCAATTCCTCCATTCTTTCTCATTTCCCATTCTGTGTACCACGTTTGGTCCTAACCCCCTCCACTTGCAATTCTCTCCCAGTTCTCCCTATTCCTCATCTTTCCACTTCATTTTCCTACCAACTCTCCTCCTCCAGTCTTGTTTTGCTTCCCTCTTTTGTGTCTTTTCTCTTTATCTCTATCTTACTGCATCTATTCAATCCCTCACCCCCATAAAATATTATAGAGAAGCCAAGTCACAGGTGCCAGTCAAAGGAAAGTTTTAGGAAAATGCATTTGGAAACAGCAGTGGCACAGCAGAGTTGCCAGGAATGGGCAATGAGTCCTAAATGGGAAGCTGAAAAGATACAGCGAAATCATGGCTGGTTTAACTTCAAGCAAGTTGAGCTAATGCTCTGGGTCAGAGCCACACTCCCCTACTGAGAAGGGACATTCAGGGTGACTCCTCACCATATGACTTGCATTTATAGTTATGGATTATCTCAGCAAGGAGGTTTGGAGACTAAGAGTGAGAGTTTTGGAGAAATTTTCATATTGAGTAGTCTTGGATTTTCTGAAATATGTAAATAATGCTTAGATTATAAATTCTTATCTTTTCAAAAAATTTGAAACACATGGGAGAAAAAGATGAGGAAAATTCATTTTTGTAACATAAGATATATAATACATATTAATGGAGTTTTAGCATTTGGAAACAAGTCTGTGAGCTGCACACAGGTATCAGGTGCTCCAGAATTACTAGAGAATACATAATCATACAGCTTCCCCTCTGTCCCCTGTCTATGCTATGGGGTCCTTGTTTAATGGGAATAGAAAGAGCTACTTTTTTGTTTTTGTTTCTTTTTGTTTTATTTTTGCTTTTAGAGTTCTGATGGGAGAAATAAAACAATCCTAATCTCTAGACCTATGTTTTATAAACAGACCAAGCACACCTGAACTTGAGGGAAAAATATGACTTCTGGCGGGGAGTTTTCTGGGGTACTTCTGGCAACTAAGGCTGTAACCAACCAAAGAGTCATTCCTTCTGGAACATGAACCTGTCAGCACTCACAGCTTCCTAGGTTTCACCTCTAGCCAGAAAGGAGAGAACACGGTGCCTGAAGCTGAATTTGTCTAAGGGGCTGGCTTGGCAGATCCTATACACTCATTGCTTATAATTGGACAGGGCTGCTTTCAGAAATGAAAACTATTATTCCCTACAAAAAGTCCTTCTTATGCCCATGAAACAGAAACAGGTGTGAACCATTTTTTTCCTAGTTTCTGGCTCTAGAAGACTTTTCCTTTAGTACAAGACACAGGGAGAAAGGGTCAATTGAGACCTCCTCAAGCCAGTGACCGCCTCCCTGTGAGCATCCTCCAGATGGCACTCTGCACATCAGGGTTTCTGAAGCTGTAGATGATTGGGTTCAGCATGGGATTGATGACAGTGTTGAAAATTCCAACAGCTTTATCCTTGTCTGAAAGCTTGGTTGAACCCAGTCGCATATAGTTAAAGATACCTGAACCATAGAATATGGCAACCACAGTGAGGTGGGAGCCACATGTGGAGAAGGCTTTCTTCCTGCCCTCTACAGAGCGAATTCGCAGGACTGCAGCTGCCACGTGGATATAGGAGATGACAATGAGAGCCATGGGGGTACCTGCCATTATAAAACCCACAGCAAAAAGCAGCAGCTCATTGAGTTGGGTGCTGGAGCAGGAGAGCTGGAAGAGCTGTGGGAGGTCACAGTAGAAGTGATTGATCACATTGGGGCCACAGAAGTTGAGCGTGGACATGGCCACAGTGTGGGTCAGTGCGTTGGTGAAAGCACAAGCCCAGGACGCAGCCACCAACATCCTCTGGACTGTCTGACTCATGCGGGTGCTGTAGGTGAGGGGCCGGCAGATGGCCAGGAATCGGTCATAGGCCATGGCGGTCAGCAGGAAGCAGTCCACTCCAACGAACAGATGGAAGAAGAAGAGCTGGGTAAGGCAGGCCCCACAGGGAACTGCACGCTTGCGGGACAGGAGACGACTCAACATTGATGGAACAGTGACGCTGATGCACCCAACATCCAGCACTGATAGGTTCCCCAGGAAGAAGTACATGGGGGTGTGGAGTTTGGGCTCCACCAAGACAGCTGCCAGGATGCTGAGGTTGCCCCTGACCGTGACCAGGTAGGCAAAGAGGAAGAGCACAAAGACAACTGGCTGCAGCCCTGGCGCCTCCAGCAAGCCCAGCAGGATGAACTCAGCAATGACTGTTCCATTGGCCCCAGATTCTGGCTGCATGAGTTCCTGCAAAGAAACATCCAGGGAGGAAAAGAATCACTCCTCCCAATAATTTATTTACTCAAGAAAAAGAAACAGACCCCCTTCTACTTGCCCGGCCCTCTGCCACGTTCCCTCTGTACAAGTAAGGAATTTTGCGCTCCTTAGGCCACACTACACTTGTTTACTCTGTCGCTACATTTACCTGAATAACTTTATTTGCAGGCGTAAGCACAGGTAACATTACCACTCTGGACCTCCCTCCTCCAACCCGCCCCCCAGCTGCAAGAACCTATTTGTAAAGATTATGAAAGACAAACCCTTGGGAAAAATAAGCAAAAAGTGTACTTCTGGTTTGAACATGGCCGAGTAAATCCAAAATGTTCTCTTCTCAGAACTTATCTCTTTCCAAAACAAGCAGAAAAATAAACATACAGATTCTATCTTCAAAGAAACTAGTAAGTGTCCACAACCCCAATCCATAAACTAGATTGGATGGATTCAAGAACAGTAAAGATCAAATAGGAGAGTGACAAGAAGCAGAGAGAGGAAATCCATGACTGTATAAGAGTTAAATGAGTATAATTCTCTTAAAAAAAAAAAAAGGGTGGGTAGGGGGAGGCAATCAACAAAAAACAAAACCAAAGCTCTTGTTTGCAATAATGGGTATATGGTGTAAAGTATGGCACCATAATCCTCTGTGACCCTGAATTGGACTCAAGAAGCAGAGAAAAGGCTAAATGAAGACTTAGGTACACAGGCTATAGATAAAGCATAAAACTGGAGGCAAAAGGTAGAAAAAAATACATCAGTTCTAACAGTTCTATTTACCTGTCTGCATTCATTACACACAAATAAAAGCTAAAATAATTTACCTCCAATTCTGAATCACAAGGTAGGTTCCTGCTAGTCTGAAACATGTCTTAGACTTGCAAGATACAAGCATCTTGTGAATATCTAGTTTGGCAAAAACTCATGTCATTTAAGGATTAAAACAAACCTGCACATCATATAAACAAGGATTCTACAAGAAAAAAGAGGTAAATAAACAAGAAAGACAAATGGATGACAAAATTCACTCCATCAAAGAATGTTGCCAATGAACATATGAAAACTGTTACCTGGCAAAGACATGGAATCAACCCAAATGCCCATCAATGACAGACTGGATAAAGAAAATGTGGTACATATACACCACGGAATACTATGCAGCCATGAAAAAGAATGAGATCATGTCCTTTGCAGGGATGTGGATGAAGCTGGAAGCCATTATCCTCAGCAAACTAATGCAGGAACAGGAAACCAAACACTGCATGCCCTCACTTATAAGTGGGAGCTGAACAATGAGAATACATGTACACAGACAGGGAAACAACACACACTGGGGCCTGTCATGGGAGGGTGGCCAGGGCGAGAACATTAGGGAAAAGAGCTAATGCATGCTGGGCTTAATACCTAGGTGATGGGGTGATAGGTGCAGCAAACCACCATGGCACATGTTTACCTATGTGACAAACCTGCATGTCCTGCACATGTACCCCAGAACTTAAAAAAATAAAATAATAACAATAAAAAAGAAAATTGTTACCCAACATTTCGGCCTCTCTAAAAATAAAATAAAAAAAAAACTTAAGGAGGCATTTTCTGGTATAAAATAAGAAAACAGAGTAAAAATATAAGAGCTGAGGGAAGGGATTGCAAGAAAGATAAGAAATATGAGCTGGAAGAAGAAAGAAAAGATGTTAAAGAAATGTAAAATTACTATACCAAAAAAACCAATATTAGAAACAATACATGGAAAAAAATTAGACAGATGCAGGAACAGTATTTTAAAAGATGACAAGATGCAATGAGAAAAGAGAGAAAATGACAGATATGAGAAAAGACAAAGGAGATCCAATCTATGTACATTCGAGTTACCAAAGGAGGAAATCAAAAAAGTGGAAAAGAACAATTATTTAAAACTCAATTTTAATTAAAAAATTACAGAAACACTTGACTTTACAATTCAAAAGTGTACACTTTGTCCCAGGAAACATTCATACAGAACGCCAGCATTGTTACATACCACTGGAGTATCACTGAATATCAATGATTAAAAAAATGGATAGCCTAGTCAAAAAACAGACAAACAAACAAAATCCTGTCAATTCTAAAGGAAAGAAATTAAGGTAGCATATCATTTCTCCAAAGTAACAGTCAAAGTTGGAATGTAATGAAGAACATGCCTGCAGTCTCCGGGGGAAGAAATGTGATCCAAAATTGTTGAAACTATCTAGACTATTATTCAAATATAATATTCATATATAAAGTTAAGTTGGCAATCTGAGAATTCAAGGAAAGTTACAAACATTAGCCATTGTTGAAGAAAGCAGACTTCAGAGTTTTGTTTTGTTTGTTTTTTTTAACAGAAGCTTTTTTAAGAAACAGACTTCAGTCAACAAAAAGAAAAATAGGAACTCTGCAGTCTATAAACTGGTGGTTAATATTAAATGTATTTAACAATAGGTCTAAGACTAAAACATTTGTGAAAATTGTAAGTATGAAAGAAAGTGTAAATGTTTTTAAAATCTCAAAAGGTAAAATGTTTATAATTAGCAAAAAAAGGAGATAGGAGGACGTATGTGTTGATTTCCTCATCTTCTATAGCTGAATGTTAAAAGATATTATTTAAACCTGATAAATTACATAATGGGGGTATAAGTACACAAATCAGTATAAAAGAAAGATTAATATAACATAATCAAATAAATTACATGGTATAGGAGAGAGAGAAAAGGGAAAAGAAACAGGAATATACTAATTTCATTGTGCTTATACCAGGGAATTAGTAGACACTGACTAAAAACAGAGTATTGGAACTCTACACAAAGTTACAGTTATAAAAGTAACCCTAGAAAAAAATCTTCTAAAATATAAGAGGAAGGATGCATACAAAACAAAGACAAATGTAGCCCTTACAGTGAAAGGCTATTTCAAAACAATAAAAGCAAACAGTATAACATAACAGAACAAAATTAGTACCAAACACACTTACAATGATAAAGCCGAGTGGGCCAAGCTCATCTAGTAAAAGAAAAGAATTTCAGGTTGGATCTAAAAAATACAACTCTAGGCTGATGCCAAAATATACAGCCAAAACCAAGTTAATTAGAAAGGGTGAAAGGTAAAGGAATACCAGTCAGATGTAAACGAAAATAAAGCAGGGATCATAATCTTAATATAAAATGTGTTTGAATTCAAAAAAGTCAGTAAATGAGGAAAAGAAGAGCATTTTATAAGGGGTGCAAGAAGATGTAATAGGTATGAAAACGAATGTCCTAAGTATATAGCATTGATACGTAAAGCAAAAAGCACAGGATGTTCAAAGAGAAATAGTCAGAAACAGGGTAACAGTGGATTTTAGTGACTTTCAGTCCATATAAATTTAAGTTGGCAGAATAAAGGCGATAAAAACCTCAATATTTTTCAAGAGGTAGAACCAATTGACATTGTACACCTTCCTTAAAGTGCCCATGAAACATTTACTGCCCAGAAACAGCATATATAAAACCAGAAATTCAGCAAACTTCAAAAGAACAAATAATACAAACAATGATATATGATCACAGCCCAATGGAAAGAAACATGATTTTAAAAATAAAATCCAATATTTAAAGAAATCCTTAAGAAACGGTTGGACCAAACAGAGAATGAAAACTAAAACTAAAGAATATCTGCAGGAGAAGAAAAAGGAGATAATGACAGCAGCACATTTTAAAAAATGGATTAAATCAGTGTTCAGAAAAGAATTCGTAGCCTTAAATGAGTATATCCACAACAACGAAAGAATTAAATGATCCAATCAAGACATTAGAAAAGGAACCATAAGAAAAGTCATAATAAAAGCAAAACTTGAGTAGAAAGAAATACAGAGCTAATAAACAAGTTCAAGAAATCTTTTATGGGTAGGAAAAGGGGTACATAAACTTGTTAAATTTTTTATTAATTCAATCAATAAAAAGAAAATACAACTGTATAAAACAACAATTTATAAAGGAAAATAATCACAATTACATTAAAAGATTAAAAAGTACTTACAAAGTCACTTTACCCCAATCTATATTTTTTGAAAAATTGGACATAATTGGTAAAATATGATTAAAAATCATGTGAAAACTTGCTCGAGAAAAGTTGAAAAAATTGAAACAAGCTAATTACTATGGGAAAAAGATACAGAGAAAGTTGTTCAAAAAGGGACTCCATTCCATTACACTACCACCAACATTCCGCCATCCCCACCAAAAAATGGAAAAATTGTGTTAAACTTTCAAGGAATCATTTTTTCCAATGTTACTTGACTGTACTGGGATATTGAAGAAGGAAAGCTTTTCAAATTACGTTTATGGAAGGGGCATAACATCTGGTTCTTTTCTTTCACTCTCTGCTCCCTCAGCCAGTAGCTGCCCCCTCTGGGCCCTGCAGAGATTCCCTTTTCTACACAGGTTCATTTTATATCTGCAATTAAGGCAGAGCAGCAGTTATGGACACCAGGCAGAGCTGGTGGAAGCCTCAAAGCTAGAATCCCAAATTAGGTCCCCATAAGGTGGTGGCTGTCGGATTTGGGAGATGTTGCATAGGGTGTCTCCTAAAAATTCTTAAATCAACAATTCCTGTTGTATCACCCTCTGAGTCTAATCATCGACTTAAAAATCATTCACTATAAATACTCTGTGAATTGACATATCTATAGGAGCAGAACAATTCCCTTACATATTAAGTAATTAATTAAACTACCTCTCATTTGCCCTTTCCCATCCACTTTAACTCAGGTTGTAAGGTTTTACACCCTTTGATTCTGTATCTTCCCATCTTTGTTCTAACCATTTACTTTATCTGGAACATCCTCTAACTAATTCTAAGTTCTCAAATCCTTTGGCTCAATTAAAATGTGCTTCCTCTGTAAAGGTTTTCCTGGTCCTGCCCCATCTCATATTCCTGTCCACTAAACTCTGCGGCACTTTAATTGTATACTTTACGGCTCTTAGCTCTGTTAACCTCTCACACGGACATTTCTCTATAGAGCACACCTCCTCTACTCCATTGTGGCTTGCCAACAGATTTCTGCCAAATTCAGCTTTGCATTCTTAATGCCTTGTGTCACACTTTGCATACAGTAGGGTTCAATATTTCTGAAATAAATAAATAAATGAACTTTGAAAGTATGACCGTAAGAGCAACAATATTTCAGTAAAAGGGAGCATCAGATTGGGCTGTAGGAGTTGGGAAAGGCTTTCTGGATGAGCTGGAGTTTGTGCAACACGATAAAAGATTGATACGATTTAAGGGAGGTGCAAGTGTGAGGAAAAGGCACAGAAGTACTGCTGTAGGTGTCTCTTCTCCCTTTATCTAGATGGCGTGGGGTTTCTTTGTTGTTCTTCTTTTTTATTAGTTTCTTCTAGAGTCAAGATAGATGGGGTGGTTCTGAGGACTCATTTGGGAATAGTTAAGACATTAGTTAAAACAATCCATTCACGGAGATGTCTTTTTGATAGAACATCTCAAAAGAATTTGGCAATTAGGAATGGTAGACCCTATGAATAAATAAGAATAGGCTAGAAGAGTACACCCCACAGAGATGCCATATAACCCAACAAGAGTCTAGGATGAACACTGGTCTATGTTTCCAAGAAGCCTGTCTTACACAGGATCACAGTGATGACCTCACCTGTAGAGACTCACCTGGATTACCACTCTCAGGCATCCAGCTTGAGGCTCAGGCTGCCCTTATTGAGTGATCCTGGATCCCTGCTCCAACATTCCAACTAAGTCCTTTATGCATCTGATGATCGTGACTCAATACAACCCTCTGTTGTAGGAACCTGGTTCAGCGTTGCTCCCCGAGAAATGGGTCCAGGCAGGAAGGTTGGATTCTCTGAGTGCCCTCCTACTCACTTCAGTAAAAAGAGAAAGCAGGCCTCATCTAGGAAGGACGGGCATTGGCAACGTGCCCTGGCATGGGAGAGTCCCAGATCTTTCTCTCACTTGATATGTTATCTCGAACAAGACTCTCTTTCTCTAGTAAGTCCTCCATGAAATAAGAGATTTGACCACTTGGTAACAACTCAAATGCCACCTCTATTATTAGGGAGCAGAAGGGGGCCCCCGGAGAGTCCTCACCTCGTTGTGGATACAGAGGCCAGCAAGGTTTCTATTGAAGGGAAAGGAAGCGGGTGAAGCACTGTGCAGGCCTGTGCTCCGGAGAGCAAAGAAGGGCCATATACGAGAAAACGAGTGAGCCAGAAATGAGATCATCCAGTCATCTATCCACTGCCGTGTCAGCCTCTGGGGATCTCAGAATTAGCCCTTCCAGGAAGGTTCGGAGGTTTAGGGAGCCACAGAGCAATAAACAACCCAAGCTTTTAATGAACCCAATAATGATGCCTTATGACTTTGTGATGCTTTTGATTTTCTCAAAGAGGCCTCCCCTCCAACTCCTTACTGCACCCCTCATATTAGTTTCATGGGGGTAATTAGGGAGTATTAATAATCCCATTTATCATACCACACCAATGAAGTCCAGAGAATTTATTCATCTTCACAAAGCCACAGTGGATCTAATGGTGGTGCTGAGGCTAGAGTAAGTATCCAGACAGAGCGTTGTTCTCCCAGATTCCTCTCGGAACAAGAGTTCTGAGCAGAGAGAGCTGACTCTCAGGCTTGCCCTGGAGGTGAGAAGGAGGCACAAGAATGGAGACAAAAGGGAGAAGCTTTCTCCAACCTTGGCTTTCTAATGAGTCCTCAGGAATGCAGTGCTTTCTCCCTCAGGACCTTGTTAATCGGGGGCACTGGGGGGCACTGGAATTGCATCTTGGGGACCCCATCATGACTTTGGAATTGGTGGTAGAAGAGCTGAGTTCAGTTAGGAGGGACCAAGGGGTCCTGAGGGACGTCTCTTCCCACTGTAATTCTCTAGGCCAGGACCTTAGAAGTTGAGACTCTTGGTGATGAGGTTAATGAACGGCGAATGTGGAGAGGTTGCCGAGCCCTCCCTCAATGTCCTACTCCCTGTTCAAACAGGAAGTGCCCACCATGATGGAGACCTTGCATTTCCTTTGCTGCAAAACCTCCAGCCCTTCACACTTCCCCAGAAGAGCCTGGTAAGAAAAACACTGACGTGGTGTACACTCACACTTGCTTTTCCAGTGACTGACGGCGTGCCTTAGGACCAGCTGCTCAGCAACTCTGGCCTTCCATTTCTTCATGTGTAAAAACAGAATAATATTTCCAACCACAGAGGGTTGGTCTAAGAATTAAATAAAATAATAGTTAAAGCACTTGGTAGGGGATCAACAAATATTAATACTAATAAAATGGCAATCATTAATATTTGCTTTATTTTGGTGCATTATCTTAATTTTCTGGACAACTCTTTGACATGGCTTTGTTATTTGCTCCACTTTGCAGAGGAGGAATTTGAGGCTCGGGGAAGTTTAGTAACTTACTTAATGTTACCTATCTAGGATGTAGCAGAGCTGGACCTCAAGCCACAAAGCATGATTTTAACAACTTTTCTATAAGACTTTCCCTTCCCTCTTTTTTTTTTTTAATCTGCTTCAAAAAACAACTTTTATGACATCATCTGATCACTATGACTGTCTCTGCCCTCAAGACTCTGACTTTTGTGCCAGCCTTTTCAGCTTCTTCTAGCAAATGTAAATTAAAATCACAATGGAGGCTGGGAGCAGTGGCTTACGCCTGTAATCCTCACACTTTGGGAGGCCAAGGTGGGGGGATCACCTGAGGTCAGGAGTTCGAGACCAGCCTGGCCAACATGACAAAACCCCATTGCTACTAAAAATACAAAAATTAGCTGGGCATGGTGGCACATGCCTGTAATCCCAGCTACTCGGGAGGCTGAGGCAGGAGAATCACTTGAACCTGGGAGGCAGAGGTTGCAGTGAGCTGAGATCACACCACTGCACTCCAACCTGGGCAACAGAGTGAGAATCGGTCTCAAAATAAATAAATTAATTAATTAATTAAATAAAATCACAATAGAGACACTATTTTACATGTACTATTGGCCTAAATGAAGAAACGACATAATATCAAGTTTTGATGAAAATATTGAGCAACAAAAATTTTTTTCTTTTTTTTTTAAATTATACTTTAAGTTCTAGGGTACATGTGCACAATGTGCAGGTTTGTTACATATGTATACATGTGCTGTGTTGGTGTGCTGCACCCATTAACTCGTCATTTACATTAGGTATATCTCCTAATGCTGTCCCTCCCCCCTCCCCCCATCCCACGACAGGCCCTGGTGTGTGATGTTCCCCTTCCTGTGTCCAAGTGTTCTCATTGTTCAATTCCCACCTATGAGTGAGAACATGCGGTGTTTGGTTTTCTGTCCTTGTGATAGTTTGCTGAGAATGCTGGTTTCCAGCTTCATCCCTGTCCTTACAAAGGACATGAACTCATCCTTTTTTATGGCTGCATAGTATTTCATGGTGTATATGTGCCACATTTTCTTAATCCAGTCTATCACTGATGGACATTTGGGTTGGTTCCAAGTCTTTGCTATTGTGAATGGTGCCACAATAAACATACGTGTGCATGTGTCTTTATAGCAGCATGATTTATAATCCTTTGGGTATATACCCAGTAATGGGATTGCTGGGTCAAATGGTATTTCTGGTTCTAGTTCCGTGAGGAATCGCCACACTGTCTTCCACAATGGTTGAACTAGTTTACAGTCCCACCAACAGTGTAAAAGTGTTCCTATTTCTTCACATCCTCTCCAGCACCTGTTGTTTCCTGACTTTTTAATGATTGCCATTCTAACTGGTGTGAGATGGTATCTCATTGTGGTTTTGATTTGCATTTCTCTGATGGCCAGTGATGATGAGCATTTTTTCATGTGTCTGTTGGCTGCATAAATGTCTTCTTTTGAGAAGTGTCTGTTCATATACTTCACCCACTTTTTGATGGGGTTGTTTGACTTTTTCTTGTAAATTTCTTTAAGTTCTTTGTAGATTCTGGATATTAGCCCTTTGTCAGATGAGTAGATTGCAAAAATTTTCTCCCATTCTGTAGGTTGCCTGTTCACTCTGATGGTAGTTTCTTTTGCTGTGCAGAAGCTCTTGTTTAATTAGGTCCCATTTGTCAATTTTGGCTTTTGTTGCCATGGCTTTTGGTGTTTTAGACATGAAGTCCTTGTGCATGCCTATGTCCTGAATGGTATTGTCTAGGTTTTCTTCTAGGGTTTTTATGGTTTTAGGTCTAACATTTAAGTCTTTAATCCATCTTGAATTAATTTTTGTATAAGGTGTAACGAAGGGATCAATGTGCAAAAATCACAAGCATTCCTATAACAGACAAGCAGAGAGCCAAATAACACCAGTAACAGACAAGCAGAGAGCCAAATCATGAGTGAACTCCCATTCACAACTGCTTCAAAGAGAATAAAATACCTAGGAATCCAACTTACAAGGGACGTGAAGGACCTCTTCAAGAAGAACTACAAACCACTGCTCAACGAAATAAAAGAGGATACAAACAAATGGAAGAACATTCCATGCTCATGGATAGGAAGAATCAATAGCGTGAAAATGGCCATACTGCCCAAGGTAATTTATAGATTCAATGCCATCCCCATCAAGCTACCAATGACTTTCTTCACAGAATTGGAAAAAACTACTTTAAAGTTCATATGGAACCAAAAAAGAGCGCACATTGCCAAGACATTCCTAAGCCAAAAGAACAAAGCTGGAGGCATCACACTACCTGACTTCCAACTATACTACAAGGCTACAGTAACCAAAACAGCATGGTACTGGTACCAAAACAGATATATAGACCAATGGAACAGAACACAGCCCTCAGAAATAATACCACACATCTACAACCATCTGATCTTTGACAAACCTGACAAAAACATTCCCTATTTAATAAATGGTGCTGGGAAAACTGGCTAGCCATATGTAGAAAGCTGAAACTGGAGCAACAAAAATTTTTATACACTGCTGGTGAGATCATAAAATTGTACTATCACATGAAAACACAATTTGGGCTTTATTCTTTAAATATAGTTGCACTAATTCCGTTCCTAATTAGAGACCCAAAAGAAATTCTTGCACATGTACAATCCTACATGCCTCCACCTGCAGGATGTTGACCGACTGGGAAAGGGCTAGTGGCCACATTTCATCTGCAGATGCTTTGCTGTTGGTCTCGTCAAAGTGCCTGGTATCTGTCATGCACTGTGTGAGCCTAGGGCTCCATATCCAATGTCATGCTCATTCTGGGAAGGCCAGTACTCAGTTCGGGCTAAAAGCGGCTGCCACCCACAGTACAACTTTCTATCTCACTAGGCTGCCCCTGTTCATCACAACATATTTTAAAGGAATAGTAATTTAAATAGTGTTATATTTGAGCAAAATTAGAGAAATCAACCAAAATAACACATTAGAGGACCTGTAAATAATATATGGAAATTTGATCCATGACATGGTGGCCAATAGATCAGTAGGAAAGGACAAGTCTTTCAATAAATAGTGCTGGAGCAACTGAGGAACCACAAAGAAAAAAATGATATTATATGTCTTTCTCACGCCATGCATAAAGGTCAGTTTCAGGTAGATGTGATACTTATACTGAAGAGTAAAAATGTAAATCATTGAACATATTCTGTGGAATATCTTTATAATATTTTAGGAGGTAAATATTTCTTAAATAAGTTGAAAGAACTTTAGTTATCTAAAAAATAAGACAGCAATTTGCCTACACTAAAATTTCAAGCCTCTACTCATCATATGACAATGATTTTCTAAGTGAAAAGGCAAGCTACAAATTTGATTTTCAGCATATATAGCTGTTCTGAAGTATCCAAAATATATTTCAAACTTCTACAACCAGGCCAGGCATAGTGGCTCATGCCTGTAATCCCAGCACTTTGGGAGGCTGAGGTAGACAGATCACGAAGCCAAGAGATCGAGATCATCCTGGCCAACATGGTGAAACCCCGTCTCTACTAAAAAAAAAATACAAAAATTAGCTAAGTGTGGTAGTGCATGCCTGTAGTCCCAGCTACTCAGGAGGCTGAGGCAGGAGGATCGCTTGAACACGGAAGGCAGAGGCTGCAGTGAGTCAAGATCACACCACTGCACTCCAGCCTGGCGAATGAGCAAGACTTCATCTCAAAAAAAAAAATTAGCCAGGTGCCTGTAATCCCAGCTACTGGGGAAGCTGAGGCAGAAGGATCGCTTGAACCTGGGAGGCGGAGGTTGCAGTGAGCCGAGATCATGGCACTGCACTCCAGCCTGGGCGATAGAGTGAGACTCCATCTCAAAATAAATAAATAGATATAGATATAGATATAAATATATATATTATATATATATATTAGAAGTTTTGGTACTAATATATATATATACTAATTATTATACTAATAATATATATATATATATATGTACCAAAATAACAGTAAGCCAAAGTAACAGTAAGCCAAAAATAAAGCAGACTCTACATGTATTGCAGCTTGGCTTTGATTAGGGGGACTGAGACAACACTCTTTGTAGGACTCTACACAACCTGTGTGATGGCTGGTGAGCACATGAACCATTCTTGGCTCTACGCCTCAGAGACTTTTCCTTCCTACTGCCTTATAGTGTTTTTCTCTCCGGATGTTAGAGTTTTCTCTCATGCACACACAGATTCCAATGCAGCCAAGGACCGGCGAAGACCCACCTGCAGGACTCTGGAGCTGTCTATCTGTGAAGCTCCCTCTTCTCCAGTACTTTCCCTCACCAATTCGTGCTGCCACAGCCAGCCTGAACTCTGTCTCCTCAATTCAGAAGACCACTGGGCTCTGTTTGGGTTCTCCTTGCCCTGGGTGTGGTTGGCCACTCTTTCTGGCAATAAGCTGAGGCAACTGTATTTCTCACACTGCTCTAGAGGTAAGGATTCACCGTCCTGCCCTGCATGGTATCCACTGCTTCATAGATTTTGTTTGGTTTCTTAGCTGTTTAAAATGGGAGAGTAAATCTGGTCCCTGTCACTTCATCATCATGGCCAGAGTAGTTTTCTAAGGAAATACAATTTCCCAAAACTGTTTACGAAGAAAAAGAAAATTTAAACAGAACAAAAAACAGAAATATTGACAAAGCTTTGGTCCTCCCTTCCTTCAAAAGCCTGCGGTCCATATGATTTCATAGGAGAATTCTACCAATCATTTAAAAACAAACTAGGTATATTCATACGATGGAATACTTCAGCAATAAAAAATAAACTATTGATACATGCTACAACATGAATGACTATAAAATCCATTATGTTGAGTAAAGGAAGCCTTACATAAAGGCATATGCACTGTACGATTCCACTTATATAAAGTTTTAGAATAGGTAGAATTAATCTATGTTGAAAAAATCAGAACAATAATTGTTTTTGAGTAGTCATTTTTTAACTGGAGAAAGGTACGGGGTAACATTTTTGGGTGCTGGCAATGTTCTGTATTTTGGTAAGTGTATGCATTTGTCAAAACTCAGTAAGTGTGCACTTCACATTTCTGTGTTTCACTGCATATTAAGTTTGCATAAACAACAGACATAAACATATTGAAGTTGTGTTATGATATGCATGCTTAAGTATTTAGGGGGACATGTACTGATGTCTGCGTCTAGAGGGGTGGAGAGGTATGTCTTCGTTTTTTTCCTTCACAGTTGACAGAGTTAAAATACCTCTGTTAACCACCAATCCACCAGGCCTTGAAGCCAATCAAAACTCCCCTTGAAACAAAGATATAGGCAAGGAATATGAAGAATATAAGCAGGGGATATGAAGACTACATGTTTCCCTGCCCCTTATATAAAATATAACTGAGTAATTTTTACTTTTGTCATGAGGTAACAAGGAATCTAGTCTTGGGAATGTAGAGTATCAATGGAAGAGACGAGATCCTTGCACAAATTAGGGAGGTAGAGATTACTCATGACATAGGACAAAAATCAGAGATGCAAATACTTTGTTGTATTATTATTCATAATGGCAAAAAATTGAAAACTAAGTATGCAATGGTTAAGTGAATGTTAGCACATGCAAATGGTAGCATATTAGAAAATCATAAAATTTTGAAGAATAATATATTACACGAAGCTCAAATATAAAGACAGTAAAAGAAAGTTGAAAATAAAATTCTATTAAATATCATACCTTTTGTAATAAAATTCTATTAAATATCATACCTTTTGTAAACCACAAATGATTAGACGTGTGTGGACACGTGCATAGGAATAGTGATTAGGTGGTAATTATTTGGTTCGTGCCTTCCTTCTTTATGAGCTGATAAGCTCCATGTAGGGAGGGAGCATGTCTGTATTTGGTCACCTCTTTACTAGCATATTACCTGAAAAATAGTACTGTGCTCAATTAATAGATGCCAAATAATGAGTGGCAGGATCCTATCTCTGTTAAGCAAGGTGAAGAGGAGCATTTGGTGTGCGGAACAAGCAGCTCTGGATACTCAAGAAGGTGGTTCAGCAGCTCAGTGGAAGAACAAGCCAACAGTGGCTGAGCTCCACTGGAGGCTCTGCCTTTTTTGGTTGTTGTTTGTTTGCCTGTTTTTTTAGAGACAGGCCTTGCTCTGTTACCCAGGCCGAAATTCTATGGCGCCATCATAGCTCAACGCAGCCTCAAACTCCTGGCCTCAAGCAATCCTCCTACCTTAGCCTCCCAAGTAGCTGGGACTACATGTTTGTGCCACCACAGTCAGCTAATTTTTTTTGTAGAGACAGGGTTTCATTATGTTGCCCCTGATCTAGAACGCCTGGCCTCAAGCAATCCCCCCACTCCAGCCTCCCAAACTGTTGGGATTAGAGGCACAAGCCACCGCATCCAGCCACCCCCATTTTGATGAGGTTACTTCCTCATCCAGGAGGCACCAGATGTAATGCAGTTACCTAGATGCTCCCACTCCCCCTTCCAATTCCTACAAATATATAGAGTGTTTGTGGGGGGTGGGGTCCCTTTCTACTGAAAAGCTTGCCATAGTGTGTGTAGTCTAGTGACGCTCAACCTTAGCCCCTCTCCATGTGGAATAGGGAGAGTGCAGGGGATCACTGTGCTCTACTACTCTTCAAAAAAAAAAAAAAAACCGTAACCCCTTTTATTTTCTCCACTTAAAATCAAATAGAAAACAAAAACCACTAATATCTTCAAAAGACATTGTTAGTGTAAGAGAAAGACTAAGAACCACTTAAAATCAAATAGAAAACAAAAACCACTAATAACTTCAAAAGACATTGTTAGTGTAAGAGAAAGACTAAGAACAAAAATTGGGTTTATAGAGTCAAACATAAGTGAGTGTCACTCTTATACTTCCAAGTTTTTCCACAACAAGGCATGTGGTTCAACTGGATTTACACACGCACGCGTGCTTGTGTGTGTGCGCATTTTGTACAAAAGGTTTTGTACATCTTGGGTTCCTGTGGGATGTTCAGGTAGAAATATCCAACACACAGGCATTAGGGTCAACAACTTAGTGTCTGGGAGGGAGATAAAAACTGAGGATCGCCTGCATGTACTGCCTTTGGATTGCTATGGGAAGACAGAGGAAGGCCTCCTAGCCTGGCCCCAGGGACTCATAGGCAGTTTCTGGAAAGGAGGAGACCTGCAATGAGTCTTCAAGGAGGAAGTTCCCTTCCTTAACATTGTGTCAGAAAAGGAGACGACACAGCCTCCGGTATGTCAGGAGAAAGCAGAAATAATGGGTTCTATTTGAGCTCTGCAACTTAGCCTCTTACAAGGACAGCTGTCAACAGAAATCCCAATCCATCCTAATTCTCTGACAACTCCTCCTTGGCCCATGACAGGCTTAAGCCACTATGAGTTTCCTCAAGTGATCCTGCAAAGAGCTTCTTCCAAACCTGTTAATGAGAGTCAGTGAGAATGCTTAATTAATGAACAAGGAATTAAAATTGCAGTTGATGTCTGAAGCCACCATTAGATGTTAGTGAAAGTAGATGGTCCTGTTCTAAAAGTCCTCTAACCCTTTATCTTCCTTTGTGGTGTTGGAGGCATGAGACTAGAAAACATTTTGAGCCAGGATGCTACAGGTTCTAGATTACACTGTGGGAGCCCAGAAAAAGGCAAAGCGCTTGACTGAGACTAGAAGAGAAGCCGGGCTTGAGGATGGCTCACGTGAGCTGTGATGGGAGGTGACCTTGTGAGATGATGGCAAGAACACTGATCCAGGGATGAAACAGGAGGAAATCCTGACCTAGGCTCTGGCCTCCTCCCAGCCCCATGCTGCAGGCCAGGTGAGAAAGTCACAAGTCACTGCTCCTCTCCTCTCCTGTCCCCACCCAAGATGATGGGCTGGATTAAATCAGAAACCCAAAATCTCAACACCGTCCCCAACACAAGGTGACTTTCAGGATTTTAAGTCTTTGAGATGTTCATTTTAACTCTATAAAATGTTGATTACAAGAGTGCCGTTTCACCAGTGCTCAAAAATATTTTTGTTAAATAAATGAATGAATTTTGCCATATTGAAGAAGGCTGTACTTGGAAACATTTTGACAAGTCCATAACATTTTAAAAATATTTGAGGTCATTATGTCTTTGGCAAAGGCAGGTGTCTTTACCTGGTTCTGGCTCCCCCTGGAAGGTGCTAATTTCTGAGGCCTCCAGGGGAACAATGAGGAGGAGAAAAATCCCAGTGTGAAAATGATGTCAGCGGAGTTGCTTGTCCCTTTGTCTGTCTGTCCTTTATAAGCCATCCCCTCTGCAGAGGCTGCTGGGCCGGCGGGACTGTCCCTCCTCCTCTTTGCCCATCTCTTTGGCCGGGTGAGTCTCATCTCAAGACTCCTCACTGTACTCTCACAGCTTGGTCTCCATACAAATGAAGTTCACCCTCTGGGCTCTGAAACAGCTTCTCACTCCACCCAAAAAGATCCAGTGGGATTTGGGTGCTTCAATGTGCAGGGTTAGAGAGAGGGAAGAATCAGTAATGACTAAGCTTTCAAGCGCTACTCACGGGGAGGATGGCAATGCTGCTACCAAAATACTTAGTCCAAAGCAGATTGAGATTGAAGAAGGACGGTTCTGATTTGGAGAGACTGAGTTTGAGGTAATGGTAAGAGCATGTCCATGCAGAAAAGGCCATACTATTAGATGGTAATTGACCCTCTGGAGACCTGAGGACGGCATTCTCCACATTTAATCATTGGGAAATATCTTCCTCTGCTCATGCCTTTTGCCCCCTAGTGGTCTCCAACTCCACCCCTTCCCTGGATGAGTTAGCCTCCATGTGAGAGACTTAAATATCTATCCCTCAGCCAGAGGTTGAGGTGGATCACTGAGTATTTTATTTTATTTTTTGAGACTGAGTCTCGCTCTGTCACCCAGGCTAGAGTACAGTGGCGCTGTCTCAGCTCACTGCAACCTCCACCTCCCAGGTTCAAGCAATTCTTCTGCCCCAGCCTCCCGAGTAGCTGGGATTACAGGCACCTGCAACCACACCCAGCTAATTTTTGTATTTTTAGTAGAGACGGGGTTTCACCATATTGGCTAGGCTGGTCTCGAACTCCTGACCTCAGGTGATCCACCCACCGCGGCCTCCCAAAGTGCTAGGATTACAGGTGTGAGTCACCACGCCCGGCCGAGTATTTTATTAGCAGTGATTAGGGCTGGGAAAAGAAAAGCATTACCTAAGTGATCATATATGTGGGCAGTTCATGGCACTGTAAAAGACTTTGGCCCTATCTGGTGATCAGATAAATAGCATGTGTGTTGGATGATGCGTAATTAGAACCAGGAGACAGAAGAGTGAAAAGCTCAGTGATGGTGGAGTTGGAGGCATGGGGAATTCAGGGTGTGGGTATCTGCTTACCTAAGACTCTATTTGTGTGAGAGTTCACCTGTATATTCAATGAAACAGCGTTACTTGGTATCCACCAAACCCACCTGGGAGCCTAAGCCTGGAGACTCACCCTACTCAAAAGCCCTTTTTACATTCTTCATATTTGGTAAACGGTCAGTACTTTTGAGCCCAAATTTCCCAGACTCTATACGGAGAAATGCAATGTAATATTACTACTTGGAAAATCTAAAAGGCTGGTAGTCACCAGCTATGGAGCTGGAAATGTCCTCGGTGATGTTTCCTCGTTTAGTTTCACTGTTTTTCATCTCATTTCGCTTTTTTTCTGAAATGTCCGGACCAAATCTCATGGCCTCGCATGTTAATCTTTTAATAGTCTGGGCCACGACAGGCATCTCACTACTGCCATGGTGTATGACAGCACGTGTATGCGGGGGGTGCAGGGACACAGGTTGTGGGGAGCATGCTTTCCTGCTTCCCCGAAGCTTCCCTTTCATCCTCTGGGATCTTGTGTACCTCAACTATGGCCATGCCACCATCTGTAGACTTGGGGTTTCCTCCCAGAACTTTGGCCTCAGGAAAATAATTTTTCCCTTTACCTTTCTAATGTAACATTTGTTCCCCTTTCTACATCAATTCATGGATCTCTGTTTGAGTCTGTCCAATGCCACTCTTGTTACCCATTAAGAGTCAGATATCAAGTCTTTTCATACTACATCTAAATCTTCAACTTCCTTCCCCTTACATTTCATGCGTTCTTCCATCCCGGCCCTGTCCTGGACATTGCTATCAAGATCTCATTGATGATTGTTATCAACACCTCATCCTGCTTCTGCCACCACCGGCCCCATCTAACACTGCTCAGTCCACTGCTAGTGGAAGACAGCCATGGATCTGGGGAACTCAGGGAATGATTCAGTTGTGACCAAGTTTGTCCTGCTGGGCCTCACAGAGACTGCAGCTCTACAGCCCATCCTCTTTGTCATCTTCCTTCTTGCTTACGTCACTACCATTGGAGGCACCCTCAGCATCCTGGCGGCCATCCTTATGGAAACCAAACTCCACAGCCCCATGTACTTCTTCCTGGGGAACTTGTCCCTGCCAGATGTGGGGTGTGTCAGTGTCACTGTCCCTGCCATGCTGAGCCATTTCATATCCAACGACAGAAGCATTCCCTATAAGGCCTGCCTCTCCGAGCTCTTCTTCTTCCACCTCCTGGCTGGGGCAGACTGCTTCTTGCTGACCATCATGGCCTATGACCGCTATCTGGCCATCTGCCAGTCCCTCACCTACAGCAGCCGCATGAGCTGGGGAATCCAGCAAGCCCTGGTGGGCATGTCATGTGTCTTTTCCTTCACCAATGCACTGACCCAAACTGTTGCCCTGTCTCCTCTTAACTTCTGTGGCCCCAATGTGATCAATCACTTCTACTGTGACCTCCCACAGCCCTTCCAGCTCTCCTGCTCCAGTGTTCATCTCAATGGGCAGTTGCTGTTTGTAGCAGCAGCTTTCATGGGTGTGGCCCCCTTGGTCCTCATCACTGTGTCCTATGCCCATGTGGCAGCTGCAGTCCTGCGAATCCGCTCTGCAGAGGGCAGAAAGAAAGCCTTCTCCACGTGTAGTTCCCACCTCACTGTGGTGGGCATCTTCTATGGGACGGGCGTCTTCAGCTACACAAGGCTGGGTTCAGTGGAGTCTTCGGACAAGGACAAGGGCATTGGCATCCTCAACACTGTCATCAGCCCCATGCTGAACCCACTCATCTACTGGACATCTCTGCTGGACGTCGGGTGCATCAGTCACTGTTCCTCCGATGCTGGCGTGTCTCCAGGCCCACCAGTGCAGAGTTCCCTATGCTGCCTGCAGTTCACAGCTCTTCTTTCCCCACCTCCTGGCTGGGGTGGACTGTCACCTCTTAATAGCCATGGCCTATGACCGCTACCTGGCTATCTGTCAGCTTCTCACCAACAGCACTCGCATGAGCTGTGAAGTCCAGGGTGCCCTGGTGGGAATTTGCTGCACTGTCTCCTTCATCAATGCTCTGACTCACACAGTGGCTGTGTCTGCGCTTGACTTCTGTGGCCCTAATGTGGTCAACCACTTCTACTGTGACCTCCCACCTCTTTTCCAGCTCTCTTGCTCCAGCATCCACCTCAATGGGCAGCTGCTGCTTGTGGGGGCCACCTTCATAGGAGTGATCCCCATGATCTTTATCTCAGTGTCCTATGCCCACGTCACAGCTGCAATATTACAAATCCGCTCAGCTGAGGGGAGGAAGAAGGCTTTCTCCACATGTGGCTCCCACCTCACTGTGGTCTGAATCTTTTATGGAACTGGCTTCTTCAGTTACATGTGTCTGGGCTCAGTCTCAGCCTCAGACAAAGATAAGGGGATTGGGATCCTCAACACTATCCTCAGTCCCATGCTGAACCCAGTCATTTACAGCCTCCAGAACCCTGATGTGCAGGGCACCCTGAAAAGGGTGCTGACAGGGAAGAGGCCCCCAGCTTGAGAAGATGGGGTTCAAAATGCAACCTCCCTCCTCGAGCAACCCCCCGACTTTCTTATGCTGAAGGACTAGGTATGGGCAGGAAAAATCCTCAGCGTCGGGTCATAAAATGGGAGGAAAGTAGATAGTCTTGGTCAGGGTAGAGTGTGGTCTGCCTTGGATTGAGGAGAAAGGCAAAAGCTTAGGTGAGAGAGTATCTAAGTTACTGATACAAAGTGAATTGAAGACAAGAGAAAAATATGATGTGGGTCAGGTAGCGGGAGACAAACTATTTTGTATTTTTTTAATTTAATGATTGTTCAATTGAAACATATATAAAATGTTAATAAAAATGAAATGTCTGGCCTCCTTTTTAGCAAAACTATATTTGTATTCGAGTGTTGGGTGTGATTTTTAAAAGGCTCTACTTTAAGAAATAGGTCTAGTATTGTAAAGTTAAATTTGGGCTTGACATACACTAGGAGCAGAGTGTTGGTACTTGTCAGAGCACCCTGCAAGCACCTTCTTCAGAGCAACATCATCAAACACCTGTTCCCAAAACTGCAGCCCCTTTCTGACTACTTATTAGTAGGGACAACACAGGTACATGGCAGTGCATGAGCCTATTCTCACAACCTGCCCCCGCCCCCTGACCAGAAACATAAGAATGTATCACTGTATGTTCCCTGAGAAGAAGCATTAATAACTAGTAAGATAGATTTATTTATTTATGAGATGGAGTTTCGCTCGGTCGCCCAGGCTGGAGTGCAGCGGCACGATCTTGGCTCACTGCAGCCTCTGCCTCCTGGGTTCAAGTGATTCCCCTGCCTTAGCCTCCCGATAGCTGGGATTACAGGTGCCTGCCACCACGTCCGGCTAATTTTTGTATTTTTACTGGAGACGGGGTTTTACCATATTGGCCAGGCTGGTCTTGAAGTCCTGACCTCATGTGATCCACCCGCCTCAGTCTCCCAAAGTGCTGAGATTACAGGTGTGAGTCACTGCACCTGGCCATAAGTTTTACTTTCAATGGCAAAATACACTGATTTATGTTGGACATTCTGTTTAATTCATACGTACAGATAATTAGTAAAGGTGAGGAGACTGATAAGAAGGGGAAACTAGAGGGGAATATCATTTGCAATTTATCAATGAGTAAGTACTGGAACCTGAGATTTTAACAACAGAGTGAAATTACGGCAATCCAGAGAGAAATAATAGAATCATAGTCAATTTCGTGCACTATCGTGGCCATTTCTAGAACTTATTCTGTAAATCCTTCAGGCACTTCCTGGACAAGAAGTTGGAAGTTGAAGACTCACCTTGTCCGACATGCTTATTATTTGAGGAGGGCAGCAGGGAACCCTTAAGGGGCCTTAGATTATCTCAGCACACAGAGGTATCCACAGTTATTCTCCACATCCAGCCATCCGTTGGGTCCCACTGAACATTATGCTGGACTCTCTTACACCATTGTCCTCTGGCAGACAGCTGCCTCCCAGCTGGGACCCATGCCATCCAACAGTCTCTGAGCCCTGGGCTCCTCCCTAACTCAGTGCTGTCTACACTGCCCCATTAATCCCCTGGAACAATATCTGCTCAGTGTCATTTCATCTGCCAAAGGCTGCCAAGTCTTTCTGATCAAATCTAGACCTTTCTCAGGTAGGCAAAGTCTTCCATCATTCCTTCCTGGCTTCTCCACTCAATCTTCATCTTTCAACCACGGGTGCTCACTTAGGTGGCTCATGAAGCCCTTGGTTTGTATTCAGTGTTCTTAATCTCCTCTGAAAGAGTGTAGCCTACACAGCATGACAGCATCATAATTTTCTCTGTATTCCTCCAGCTTCTTTTATTCTTCCCAGCTAGGTTATAATCTCCTTAAGGACGGGATCCATGTCTTATATTATGTCTTCCAAACACACAACAGAGTGCTGAGTAGATAGCTGATGTTCAAGCCATCTTGTGGGTTATTTGATAGCAGAAAGCATGACTTATGATAAGAAATTTGTCTTCCACATAGGAAGTCAGTGAAACTGCTAGATGTTTTCAAAATATCCTCAAGGTCCCAATATTAGGATAGTATAAAGATATAAAGAGAAAATTTTTTAAAGATAAATTTTCTTCTGATGAAATAAAGACAATCATTGAATTTGACATAACAGGGAAAAGGCTTCCTAACTTTGTGCATGAAATGCAATATCATTTCTCCTCAAACAAAAAAACCCTGAAACTAAAACCAAAGAAGTACCTCCTTCTTGCAAAAAATTATAAACAGAGCATTTAATTAGCAAAATCTGAGCATAACACTATAGGTTGGGAAATCCTATAATATCCAAAGACTTGGGAAAGCATTACAGAGAGAAGTGTAATAATAAATGAGTGATCACAAGTTGTGTCAGTGTTTGTCTTTCCTTAATTCATCTTCTAAAGTAAAGAGTTTTTAACTCTGCTATGCAAATATAAATAATTCATGTTTTATGTAAATAATTTAAATAAAAAGCATATATTTGTTTAAAAAGAAGAGTGAACGTATTGACATGAGAAGTTGTATAGCACATATGACTAAATTGAGAAAGTGATGATGATGTAAACATGTGTATGGGCTGAAAATCCTGGAGGAAAACCCGTAAGCTGCACACGGTGATTCCCTCTGTGGAGGGAATAGGACTGGGGAGGGCAGTGGAAAATGGGGAATGACTTTCGGTTTTTACTCCATTTACTCTGGTATTATTCAAAGTTTTTCACTGAGTTCTGTAATTTTAAAAAATTAAATACATATATTTTTTAAATTTCCACTTTTACTTTAGATAAGGAGATGTATGTGCAGATTTGTTACTTGGTAATACTGCATGATGCTGAGATTTGGAGTCCAGATTCCATCACCTTGGTCATGAACACAGTACCCGATAGGCAGTTTTTTAATCCACACCTTCTCCCTCCTCTTTTTAGTAGTTCACAGTGTCTCTTGTTCTCATATTTATGTCCATGTGTACTCAATGCTTAGCTGTTAATGATTAGAACGTGGTATTTTATTTTCTCTTTCTGCATTAATTTGCTTAGGAGAATGACCTCCAGCTGCATCCATGTTGTGGCAAAGGACATTATTTCATTCCTTTTTATGGCTGCATAGTATTCCATAGTGTATATGTACCACATTTTCCTTATCCAGCTCACCACTGATGGGTACCTGGGTTGATTCCATGTCTTTGCTATTGTGAATAGCTCAGTAGTAAACATATAAGTGCGTGTGTCTTTGTGGTAGAATGATTTACTCTCCTTTGGATATGTATCCAGTAATGGGACTGCTGGGTCAAATAATAGCTCTGTTTTAAGTTCTTTGAGAAATCTCCAGACTGCTTTCCACAGGGGCTGCACAAAGTTACATTTCCACCAACAACGTAGAAGCGTTCTCTTTTCTCTGCAGCCTTGCCAGCATCTGTTGCTTGTTGACTTTTTAATAGTAGCCATTCTGACTGGTATGAAGTGGTGTCTCATTGTGATTTTGATTTGCATTCCTCTGATGATTAGTGATGCTGAGCACTTTTTCCTGGGTTTGTCGGCCACTTGTATGTCTTCTTTTGAGAAGCGTCTGTTCATGTTCTTTGCCCATTTTTTAATGAGATTATTTGATTTTTGCTTGTTGATTTGTTGAAGTTCCCTATAGGTTCTGGATATTAGGCCTTTGTCAGATGCACAGTTTGTGAATATTTTCTCCCAATCCATAGGTTGTCTGTTTATTCTGCTGATGGTTTATTTTGCTATGCGGATCTTTAATTAGGTCCCACTTGTCAATAACTAACTAAATAAATAAAACTTTTAAAGTGCTAACTGGTGAAAATATGGGGGGGGGGGCGGTAGTAAGATGAGTAGTAAGATGAGTCTACTATAGTGTTTTCTCTCCAGCCTTCAGAGTGTCCCGTCATCCTCACCTTTAAGGAAACTAGTGAGTTGTCCCATCTATCCAACACAAGCCCACCTTGTTCACTTGATCAAGATTTAGAGGCAGTCATCTTGTCCATCTCTCTTCATCTAAGTGAAGAATCAAACCAAACAGCTCTTATCCTTAAGAGAATAGCCCTGGTGGACCTTCTTACCTCTTTCCATCTCCTGTCCCTGAAGATTGAAATATCACCCTCCACTCCACACCAACCCTCATCCTGCACCACCATCAACAACCTGTCCCCCCAGCACCCACTTCCCTATTGCACAGTTTTGAATCTTTATATGAAATTCCAGTCAAAGGTGGTGACTAATCTTGGTTGGGATGAATGTATGATCTTTGCAGATATAAGTCCATGGATTCCTGACACTAAAAGAAACTTCTAGCAAAATTTTTGCCCAGCCATCCTAACTGAGATAGCTCATATTCAAAGAAACATGTTTCAGACATTGTGAGTTCTCAACACATCTGTGAACTGTTGAGTACATCCACGATCCATGTGTCAAGCTCAGCAGATGTCATTTTACACACCATGGGCATCTACATATGTCTACTTGGAGATGATCTCACACACATCCCAACAATACCTCCTTCTCCCACATCCATCCTACCATCTGTGTCCAGCCCAGAGAAAAGCTCTACTAGGACTCAGCAGAATTATAACAGTAGTATATTTTATCTTATTATTTTATTAGCACATAGCAATATTTACAAAGCAATTTTAAAATCTGTGTTCTCATTTGAATTTTTCAGTGGCACAGTTGAATGTAACCCACAGTGACAACCAGGACCAGGATTAGAAAATAGGAAGGCCAGCTTTTATTATTCTCACTTCACAGATGACAGATTCGGTGACTTGCCAGAGGCCATAGAGTTAGGCCCAGTAGCTTTGCCTCCTTCCCTGCATCCAGTTAATCATCAAAGAATTCAAAACTAAACAGAGTGATAATGACTGTGGGTGCAATGAGTTTCAGAAATGCAAAAGGCAGTACAGTTGAATGAAGAGAACCTTCAACAGAATATATGGAGATCAAAGTTTTAATTCAGTCTCTGCTATTTTTAGCCTACAGATCTGTTCAAGTTTTGATTCTTTATCTACAAAATTAGTCACTTCCAAGTATCTCAGGCTTTTTTCACTCACCTACTACATAGTAAATACTCAAGCCCAGACAGGATGCCAAAGACTGCAGGGATTAAGAGACTATGAGCTATTAAACGGACAGGCAATAAGGTTGAGTACCGGTGCATAAACCCAGAAACTATTTATACAGTGGATCAGATGAGCAGAAGTTCATTCTGGGGCTTCAGCAGCTGGAGAGATGCCAGAATTGGAGGTGGTAACAGTGAGCCAGGAAGAGACGTGAAGGCCTGAGAAGTAGCAATAAGTGAAACAGAAAGAGGTGAGCTTTGGAAAGAGTCTTGAAACATCAGCCAGAAAATATTTAACCTCTCTTTTAGACTATGGTTGTAAAATCTTGGAGGGTAAAGATATCAGGGATCTGAAAGGGTTACCTTTATTTGGTATTTACAGGTAGTTGTCCAGGCCAGAATATAAGGACAAATAAATACAAATCCAGCATCTTCTGTGTGGCAGGCAGCAAGCTGGGAAGCTCACGCACCTTGTTGCATTAAGTTAACTTTGGTCAAGTGAACATAGCATTGGAGTGAGAAGTTGGGAGGCCGGGGCTCTGGGCTAACACTGCTCCTTGCTAGCTGTGTGACACAGGGTAGATCATTTCCTCCCTGTGGGCCCCAGTTTTCCCATCCATAAAATAGGAATGGGAATCATACCATGAACTTCATATGATTATTTTGGGGACTAAATGAATTGAGGTACAGAATTACTGAGTCAACAAGTATAGTGTAGAACATGTTAAAATTTCATTGGGTTTTGAGTTGAAGGAGTTACCCTATTTCGAGAGTTGTGCCCTCTCTCTAACAAAAGCCAGAGTAGGAATTTATCTCCCCAGGCCCAAAACTCTACCCCTCCCGGCCAGTGCTATGCCCTTTGTACCACACTAGCCCTCACTTTCCATGAATGAACTAGTGAAGAATTCAGGCCTGTAGAAGCCACAGTGTCCCCCCGCTCTCTCCACACTGGGAGACAGCATGATTAATCTCTTGGGATCCACACCACTTCAGTTTATTTTGGCGTTTTAGTTAAGCAGCAACTCACTGATAAACTTTGCTAACTTCCCCAGTTCAACAGGGTCTCGGGAGATATCTATCCAGCAAGTCTTCAAAGAAAGGTTCCCACAGAGACAGCCAGGGCTAGGATTGGGGAGTTAAGTGCTTACAAGTTCCACAAACAGAATCCCCTAATTAGCTCCCAAATGAGAGTTCAGGATAATGCAGCCTAGGTGCTGAGGGAAGACTGGGAATTTCCTGACTGTCTTCTGTGTCTCTGCTAATAAGGCCAGAGGGAAGGGATGCACAGAAAGAGATTCACTTTCTTTTTGGTCCTTAGTCTGAAAGAAACTGGGACCTTAGAGAGTGGAAGAGGCCAATTAGTGATGGGGGAGTTCAGTACTTTTGTTAGCAAGACTCATTAGCCAAGTTGTGACTAGCAGGAAGATGAGTTTAAAACGAGAATGCCTGGGCATGAGTCAGCCTCCCTGTAAACGCTAGCCTCCCCTTTATTTGCTTGTTGTCTGCTTATCGAGACCGCATTCCTCCAGCCTCCTTCACACCCCAGAACTTCCTTGTTCTTCCACTGTTCTTCCTACCCAGCACAGCCTGCTTACTTTTTAGTTCCACGTGAATAAATGCATCTGCTTCAGTGTTTGCAATGGCTACATCATTTGACAACTGCATTATCAACCCTCTATCTTCACCCTTTAGGTTGTTTCCAGTTTTTCACTATTAAGAACCATAATTTGATGTGTTTTTTCCACAGCTATTTCCCTAAATGGGCCACATGTATGTGTATATTTTCAACACTTTTATGAATATTGACAAACTATCAACTAGACAGATTGTACCACCAATTCAGTGCGAGAGGGCCACTTTCCTAACCCTAACCAACCCTAAGTATTGCCATTTTTAAACATCCTTACAATGTGATCAGTGAATCTCTATTTCCTATTGTAGTTTTACTTTGCATTTTTTTTAAATAAACCCTATTCTATAGCTTTAAATGTAAACAAAACAACTCCCTCCATTTTCAAGTATGTCTTAAACCTCCATTGCTTTTACCTGCTACATACACACCAAATCATGGTGTACACTGGTGAATAAATGATAAGTAGTCCATAGCCTTTACTATCATTGAAAAAACAGTGTCCCTCCACTAATTAATTCATTTATTTAGCAAACATTATGATTCTACTGTATGCAAGGACAATCTATATGAATATACACTAACTTCAGTGTATTCCATATTGTTGGGTTATTGAGTCTGAGGGATTAGCAGATTTATTTGTAAAGGACTAGGCAGTAAATATTTTAGGCATTGGGGGCCACATATATCTCTCTTGCTGCTGCTGCTTTTTAAAATTTATATTATTTTTATTTTTTATTCATTTTTTTAAATTTTATTATTATACTTTAAGTTTTAGGGTACATGTGCACAACATGCAGGTTTGTTACATATGTATACATGCGCCATGTTGGTGTGCTGCACCCATTAACTCGTCATTTAGCATTAGGTATATCTCCTAATGCTATCCTTCCCCCATCCCACCACCCCACAACAGTCCCCAGTATGTGATGTTCCCCTTCCGGGTCCATGTGTTCTCACTGTTGAACTCCCACTTATGAGTGAGAACATGAGGTGTTCGGTTTTCTGTTCATGTGTTAGTTTGCTGAGAATGATGGTTTCCAGTTTCATCCATGTCCCTACAAAGGACATGAACTCATCATTTTTTATGGCTGCATAGTATTTCATGGTGTATATGTGCCACATTTTCTTAATCCAGTCTATTGTTGTTGGACATCTGGGTTGGTTCCAAGTCTTTGCTATTGTGAATAGTGCTGCAATAAACATACGTGTGCATGTGTCTTTATAGCAGCATGATTTATAATCCTTTGGGTATATATACCCAGTCATGGGATGGCTGGGTCAAATGGTATTTCTAGTTCTAGATCCTTGAGGAATCGCCACACTGACTTCCACAATGGTTGAACTAGTTTACAGTCCCACCAACAGTGTAAAAGTGTTCCTATTTCTCCACATCCTCTCCAGCACCTGTTGTTTCCTGACTTTTTAATGATCGCCATTCTAACTGGTGTGAGATGGTATCTCACTGTGGTTTTGATTTGCATTTCTCTGATGGCCAGTGATGATGAGCATTTTTTCATGTGTTTTTTGGCTGCATAAATGTCTTCTTTTGAGAAGTGTCTGTTCATGTCCTTCGCCCACTTTTTGATGGGGTTGTTTGTTTTTTTCTTGTAAATTAGTTTGAGTTCATTGTAGATTCTGGATATTAGCCCTTTGTCAGATGAGTAGGTTGCAAAAGTTTTCTCCCATTCCGTAGGTTGCCTGTTCACTCTGATGGTAGTTTCTTTTGCTGTGCAGAAGCTCTTTAGTTTAATTAGATCCCATTTGTCAATTTTGTCTTTTGTTGCCATTGCTTTTGGTGTTTTAGACATGAAGTCCTTGCCCATGCCTATGTCCTGAATGGTATTGCATAGGTTTTCTTCTAGGGTTTTTATGGTTTTAGGTCTAACATGTAAGTCTTTAAGCCATCTTAAATTAATTTTTGTATAAGGTGTAAGGAAGGGATCCAGTTTCAGCTTTCTACATATGGCTAGCCAGTTTTCCCAGCACCATTTATTAAATAGGGAATCCTTTCCCCATTGCTTGGTTTTCTCAGGTTTGTCAAAGATCAGGTAGCTGTAGATAGGCGGCATTATTTCTGAGGGCTCTGTTCTGTTCCATTGGTCTATATCTCTGTTTTGGTACTAGTACCATGCTGTTTTGGTTACTGTAGCCTTGCAGTATAGTTGGAAGTCAGGTAGTGTGATGCCTCCAGCTTTGTTCTTTTGGCTTAGGATTGACTTGGCGGTGCGGGCTCTTTTTTGGTTCCATATGAACTTTAAAGTAGTTTTTTCCAATTCTGTGAAGAAAGTCATTGGTAGCTTGATGGGGATGGCATTGAATCTATAAATTACCTTGGGCAGTATGGCCATTTTCACGATATTGATTCTTCCTACCCATGAGCATGGAATGTGTTTCCATTTCTTTGTATCCTCTTTTATTTCATTGAGCAGTGGTTTGTAGTTCTCCTTGAAGAGGTCCTTCACATCCTTTGTAAGTTGGATTCCTAGGTATTTTATTCTCTTTGAAGCAATTGTGAATGGGAGTTCACTCATGATTTGGCTCTCTGTTTGTCTGTTGTTGGTGTGTAAGAATGGGTGTGATTTTTGTACATTGATTTTGTATCCTGAGACTTTGCTGAAGTTGCTTATCAGCTTAAGGAGATTTTGGGCTGAGACAATGGAGTTTTCTAGATATACAATCATGTCATCTGCAAACAGGGACAATATGACTTCCTTTTTTCCTAATTGAATATGCTTTATTTCTTTCTCCTGCCTGATTGCCCTGGCCAGAACTTCCAACACTATGTTGAATAGGAGTGGTGAGAGAGGGCATCCCTGTCTTGTGCCAGTTTTCAAAGGGAATGCTTCCAGTTTTTGCCCATTCAGTATGATATTGGCTGTGGGTTTGTCATAGATAGCTCTTATTATTTTGAGATACATCCTATCAATACCTAATTTATTGAGAGTTTTTAGCATGAAGCGTTGTTGAATTTTGTCAAAGGCCTTTTCTGCATCTATTGAGATAATCACGTGGTTTTTGTCTTTGGTTCTGTTTATATGCTGGATTACATTTATTGATTGGCATATGTTGAACCAGCCTTGCATCCCAGGGATGAAGCCCACTTGATCATGGTGGATAAGCTTTTTGATGTGCTGCTGGATTTGGTTTGCCAGTATTTTATTGAGGATTTTTGCATCAATGTTCATCAAGGATATTGGTCTAAAATTATCTTTTGTGGTTGTGTCTCTGCCAGCCTTTGGTATCAGGATGATGCTGGCCTCATCAAATGAATTAGGGTGGATTCCCTCTTTTTCTTTTGATTGGAATAGTTTCAGAAGGAATGGTACCAGCTCCTCCTTGTACCTCTGGTAGAATTCAGCTGTGAATCCATCTGGTCCTGGACTTTTTTTGGTTGGTAAGCTATTGATTATTGCCACAATTTCAGAGCCTGTTATTGGTCTATTCAACTTCTTCCTGGTTTAGTCTTGGGAGGATGTACGTGTCGAGAAATTTATCCATTTCTTCTAGATTTTCTAGTTTATTTGCGTAGAGGTGTTTATAGTATTCTCTGATGGTAGTTTGTATTTCTGTGGGATCGGTGGTGATATATCCCCTTTTTCATTTTTATTCATCTATCTGATTCTTCTCTCTTTTCTTCTTTATTAGTCTTGGTAGCAGTCTATCAATTTTGTTGATCTTTTCAAAAAACCACTCCTGGATTCATTAATTTTTTGAAGGGTTTTTTGTGTCTCTATTTCCTTCAGTTCTGCTCTGATTTTAGTTATTTCTTGCCTTCTACTAGCTTTTGAACGTGTTTGCTCTTGCTTCTCTAGTTCTTTTAATTGTGATGTTAGGGCATCAATTTTAGATCTTTCCTGCTTTCTCTTGTGGGCATTTAGTGCTATAAACTTCCCTTTACACACTGCTTTGAATGTGTCCCAGAGATTCTGGTATGTTGTGTGTTTGATCCCATTGGTTTCAAAGAACATCTTTATTTCTGCCTTCATTTCGTTATGTACCCAGTAGTCATTCAGGAGCAGGTTGTTCAGTTTCCATATGGTTGAGTGGTTTTGAGTGAGTTTCTTAATTCTGAGTTCTAGTTTGATTGCACTGTGGTCTGAGAGACAGTTTGTTATAATTTCTGTTCTTTTACATTTGCTGAGGAGTGCTTTACTTCCAACTATGTGGTCAATTTTCGAATAGGTGTGGTGTGTTTCTGAAAAGACTGTATATTCTGTTGATTTGGGGTGGAGAGTTCTGTAGATGTCTATTAGGTCCGTTTGGTGCAGAGCTGAGTTCAATTCCTGGACATCCTTGTTAACTTTGTCTCGTTGATCTGTCTAATGTTGACAGTGGGGTGTTAAAGTCTCCCATTATTATTGTGTGGGAGTCTAAGTCTCTTTGTAGGTCACTAAGGACTTGCTTTATGAATTTGGGTGCTCCTGTATTGGGTGCATATATATTTAGGATAGTTAGCTCTTCTTGTTGAATTGATCCCTTTACCGTTAAGTAATGGCCTTGTCTCTTTTGATCTTTGTTGGTTTAAAGTCTGTTTTATCAGAGACTAGAATTGCAACCCCTGCCTTTTTCTGTTTTCCATTTGCTTGGTAGATCTTCCTCCATCCCTTTATTTTGAGCTTATGTGTGTCTCTGCACGTGAGATGGGTTCAGCACACTAATGGGTCTTGACTCTTTATCCAATTTGCCAGTCTGTGTCTTTTAATTGGAGCATTTAGTCTATTTATATTCAAAGTTAATATCGTTACGTGTGAATTTGATCTTGTCATTATGATGTCAGCTGGCTATTTTGCCCATTACTTGATGCAGTTTCTTCCTAACCTCGATGGTCTTTATAATTTGGCACGTTTTTGCAGTGGCTGGTACCGGTTGTTCCTTTCCATGTTTAGCACTTCCTTCAGGAGCTCTTTTAGTGCAGGCCTGGTGGTGACAAAATCTCTCAGCATTTGCTTGTCTGTAAAGGGTTTTATTTCTCCTTCACTTATGAAGCTTAGTTTGGCTGGATATGAAATTCTGGGTTGAAAATTCTTTTCCTTAAGAATGTTGAATATTTGCCCCCACTCTCTTCTGGCTTGTAGAGTTTCTGCTGAGAGATCAGCTGTTAGTCTGATGGGCTTCCCTTTGTGGGTAACCCGACCTTTCTCTCTGGCTGCCCTTAACATTTTTTCCTTCATTTCAACTTTGGTGAATCTGACAATTATGTGTTTTGGAGTTGCTCTTCTCGAGGAGTATCTTTGTGGTGTTCTCTGTATTTCCTGAATTTGAATGTCGGCCTGCCTTGCTAGATGGGGGAAGTTCTCCTGGATAATATCCTGCACAGTGTTTTCCAACTTGGTTCCATTCTCCCCGTCATTTTCAGGTACACCAATCAGACATAGATTTGGTCTTTTCACGTAGTCCCATATTTCTTGGAGGCTTTGTTCATTTCTTTTTGTTCTTTTTTCTCTAAACTTCTCTTCTCCCTTCCTTTCATTCATTTCATCTTCCATCACTGATACCCTTTCTTCCAGTTGATCGCATCGGCTACTGAGGCTTCTGCATTCGTCACGTAGTTCTCGTGCCTTGGTTTTCAGCTCCATCAGGTCTTTTAAGGACTTCTCTGCATTGGTTGTTCTAGTTATCCATTCGTCTTGATTTTTTTTCACAGTTTTTAACTTCTTTGCCATTGGTTCGAACTTCCTCCTGTAGCTTGGAGTAATTTGATCGTCTGAAGCCTTCTTTTCTCAACTCATCAAAGTCATTCTCCGTCCAGCTTTGTTCCATTGCTGGTGAGGAACTGCATTCCTTTGGAGGAGGAGAGGCACTCTGATTTTTAGAGTCTCCAGTTTTTCTGCTCTGTTTTCTCCCCATCTTTGTGGTTTAATCTACCTTTGGTCTTTGATGATGGTGACATACAGATGGGTTTTTGGTGCGGATGTCCTTCCTGTTTGTTAGTTTTCCTTCTAACAGACAGGACCATCAGCTGCAGGTCTGTTGGAGTTTGCTAGAGGTCCACTCCAGACCCTGTTTGCCTGGGTATCAGCAGTGGTGGCTGCAGAACAGCAGATTTGGTGAACCGCAAATGCTGCTGCCTGATCGTTCCTTTGGAAGTTTTGTCTCAGAGGAGTACCCGGCCGTGTGAGGTGTCAGTCCGCCCCTACTCGGGGGTGCCTCCCAGTTAGGCTACTTGGGGGTCAGAGACCCACTTGAGGAGGCAGTCTGCCCGTTCTCAGATCTCAAGCTGAGATTTTCTTCTTATGTGAATGCATGTATTAAGTATTTGTCATAGATGCTGCAAATATTTTCCTTATTAAATCTGTCCTACTCATGCTAATGATGTTTTTGACATACAGACTTTTACACAGTCAAGCATATGCACATTTTACTTTATGACTTCTGTCTTTGCTGTTATGCTTGAAACTATTTCCCCATCTCAAGTTCATATTGTCATCTATTTTTTTTACTATTTTTATGATTTTGTTTTTTATATCTTATGTTTTATACTTTCATATTCAAAATTCATTTTAGTAAATGTTGTGATAAAGGGGTACAACTTTATTTTAACTCTACAGCTTGTGTTCAAAGATCCTTCCAATTTTTTTTTTTTTTTTTTTTTTTGAGACAGGGTCTCGCTCTGTCGCCCAGACTGGGAGTGCAGTGGTGCAATCTCAACTCACTGCAACCTCCACCTCCCAGGTTCAAGCAATTCTCCTGCCTCAGCCTCCTGAGTAGCTGGGATTACAGGTGCATACCATCACACCTGGCTAATTTTTATACTTTTAGTAGAGATGCGGTTTCACCAGGTTGGCCAGGCTGGTCTCAAACTCCTGACCTCAGGTGATCCACCCACCTTGGCCTCCCAAAGTGCTGGGATTACAGGAGTGAGCCACCCCACCCTGCCTGTTCTAAATGTTTTAAGTATCTCTTTTTATCAAATTTTAAATGTATATAGATATATATACACACACTTGTATTTTCTTCTGAACTTTATATTCTGTTACAGCAGTCCGTGTTAGTATACCACAATGTTTCAATAACTGTAGCTTTATTTATTTTTTCTGATCAAGCCTCTTTTTAAAAATTAAGGTATCACATCTCAGCCTTTTGGTTAAGATCAAGTGTAAAAATTGAGGTAAGATATACATGTAAAATTTACCATCTTTACTACTTTTTCTCTCTTCAACTTTCACTTTAAGTTCCAGGGTATACGTGCAGGATGTGCAGGTTTATTACATAGGTAGATGTGTGCCATGGTGGGTTGCTGCACAGATCAACCCATCACCTAGGTATTAAGCCCAGCATCCATTAGCTGTTCTTCCTGATGCTCTCCCTTCCCCTACTCCCCCTGAAGGTTCTGGTGTGTGTTGTTTCCCCGAATGTGTCCATGTGCTCTCATAGTTCATCTCCCGCTTATAAGTGAGAACATGAGGTGTTTGGTTTTCTGTGCCCGCATTAGTTTGCTAAGGATAATGGCTTCCAGCTCCATCCATGTTCCTGCAAAGGACAGGATCTCATTCATTTCTATGGCTGCATAGTATATCATGGTGTATATGTACCACATTTTCTTTATCCAGTCTATCATTGATGGGCATCTGGGTTGATTCCATGTCTTTGCTATTATGAATAGTGCTGCAATGAACATATGTGTGCATGTATCTTTATAATAGAATGATTTCTATTCATTTGGGTTTATACCCAGTAATGGGATTGCTGGGTCAAATGTAAAACCCCAAACTATAAAAACCATAGAAGAAAATCTAGGCAATACCATTCAGAACATAGGCATCGGCAAAGATTGTTGCGGGAAGTCAGGGACCCCAAATGGAGGGACCGGCTGGAGCTGCAGCAGAGGAACATAAATTGTGGAGATTTCATTTTAATATGGACATTTATCAGTTCCCGAAATTAATACTTTTATAATTTCTTATGCCTGTCTTTTTTTTTTCTTCTTTTTTTTATTATACTTTAAGTTTTAGGGTACATATGCACATTGTGCAGGTCAGTTACATATGTATACATGTGCCATGCTGGTGTGCTGCACCCACTAACTCGTCATCTAGTATTAGGTATATCTCCCAATGCTATCCCTCCCCCCTCCCCCCACTCCACCACAGTCCCCACAGTGTGATATTCCCCTTCCTGTGTCCATGTGATCTCATTGTTCAATTCCCACCTATGAGTGAGAATATGCAGTGTTTGGTTTTTTGTTCTTGCGATAGTTTACTGAGAATGATGATTTCCAACTTCATCCATGTCCCTACAAAGGACATGAACTCATCATTTTTTATGGCTGCATAGTATTCCATGGTGTATATGTGCCACATTTTCTTAATCCAGTCTATCATTGTTGGACATTTGGGTTGGTTCCAAGTCTTTGCTATTGTGAATAATGCCGCAATAAACATACGTGTGCATGTGTCTTTATAGCAGCATGATTTATAATCCTTTGGGTATATATACCCAGTCATGGGATGGCTGGGTCAAATGGTATTTCTAGTTCTAGATCCTTGAGGAATCGCGACACTGACTTCCACAATGGTTGAACTAGTTTACAGTCCCACCAACAGTGTAAAAGTGTTCCTATTTCTCCACATCCTCTCCAGCACCTGTTGTTTCCTGACTTTTTAATGATCGCCATTCTAACTGGTGTGAGATGGTATCTCATTGTGGTTTTGATTTGCATTTCTCTGATGGCCAGTGATGATGAGCATTTTTTCATGTGTTTTTTGGCTGCATAAATGTCTTCTTTTGAGAAGTGTCTGTTCATGTCCTTCGCCCACTTTTTGATGGGGTTGTTTGTTTTTTTCTTGTAAATTAGTTTGAGTTCATTGTAGATTCTGGATATTAGCCCTTTGTCAGATGAGTAGGTTGCAAAAGTTTTCTCCCATTCCGTAGGTTGCCTGTTCACTCTGATGGTAGTTTCTTTTGCTGTGCAGAAGCTCTTTAGTTTAATTAGATCCCATTTGTCAATTTTGTCTTTTGTTGCCATTGCTTTTGGTGTTTTAGACATGAAGTCCTTGCCCATGCCTATGTCCTGAATGGTAATGCCTAGGTTTTCTTCTACGGTTTTTATGGTTTTAGGTCTAACGTTTAAGTCTTTAATCCATCTTGAATTGATTTTTGTATAAGGTGTAAGGAAGGGATCCAGTTTCAGCTTTCTACATATGGCTAGCCAGTTTTCCCAGCACCATTTATTAAATAGGGAATCCTTTCCCCATTGCTTGGTTTTCTCAGGTTTGTCAAAGATCAGATAGCTGTAGACATGCGGTGTTATTTCTGAGGGCTCTGTTCTGTTCCATTGACCTATATCTCTGTTTTGGTACCAGTACCATGCTGTTTTGGTTACTGTAGCCTTGTAGTATAGTTTGAAGTCAGGTAGTGTGATGCCTCCAGCTTTGTTCTTTTGGCTTAGGATTGCCTTGGCGATGGGGGCTCTTTTTTGGTTCCATATGAACTTTAAAGTAGTTTTTTCCAATTCTGTGAAGAAAGTCATTGGTAGCTTGATGGGGATGGCATTGAATCTGTAAATTACCTTGCGCAGTATGGCCATTTTCACGATATTGATTCTTCCTACCCATGAGCATGGAATGTTCTTCCATTTGTTTGTATCCTCTTTTATTTCCTTGAGCAGTGGTTTGTAGTTCTCCTTGAAGAGGTCCTTCACATCCCTTGTAAGTTGGATTCCTAGGTATTTTATTCTCTTTGAAGCAATTGTGAATGGGAGTTCACTCATGATTTGGCTCTCTGTTTGTCTGTTGTTGGTGTATAAGAATGCTTGTGATTTTTGTACATTGATTTTGTATCCTGAGACTTTGCTGAAGTTGCTTATCAGCTTAAGGAGATTTTGGGCTGACACAATGGGGTTTTCTAGATATACAATGATGTTGTCTGCAAACAGGGACAATTTGACTTCCTCTTTTCCTAATTGAATACCCTTTATTTCCTTCTCCTGCCTAATTGCCCTGGCCAGAACTTCCAACACTATGTTGAATAGGAGTGGTGAGAGAGGGCATCCCTGCCTTGTGCCAGTTTTCAAAGGGAATGCTTCCAGTTTTTGTCCATTCAGTATGATATTGGCTGTGGGTTTGTCATAGATAGCTCTTATTATTTTGAAATACGTCCCATCAATACCTAATTTATTGAGAGTTTTTAGCATGAAGGGTTGTTGAATTTTGTCAAAGGCCTTTTCTGCATCTATTGAGATAATCATGTGGTTTTTGTCTTCGGCTCTGTTTATATGCTGGATTACATTTATTGATTTGCGAAAATACGTCCCATCAATACCTAATTTATTGAGAGTTTTTAGCATGAAGTGTTGTTGAATTTTGTCAAAGGCCTTTTCTGCATCTATTGAGATAATCATGTGGTTTTTGTCTTTGGCTCTGTTTATATGCTGGATTACATTTATTGATTTGCGTATATTGAACCAGCCTTGCATCCCAGGGATGAAGCCCACTTGATCATGGTGGATATGCTTTTTGATGTGCTGCTGGATTCAGTTTGCCAGTATTTTATTGAGGATTTTTGCATCAATGTTCATCAAGGATATTGGTCTAAAATTCTCTTTTTTGGTTGTGACTCTGCCCGGCTTTGGTATCAGAATGATGCTGGCCTCATAAAATGAGTTAGGGAGGATTCCCTCTTTTTCTGTTGATTGGAATAGTTTCAGAAGGAATGGTACCTGTTCCTCCTTGTACCTCTGGTAGAATTTGGCTGTGAATCCATCTGGTCCTGGACTCTTTTTGGTTGGTAAACTATTGATTATTGCCACAATTTCAGCTCCCGTTATTGGTCTATTCAGAGATTCAACTTCTTCCTGGTTTAGTCTTGGGAGAGTGTATGTGTCGAGGAATTTATCCATTTCTTCTAGATTTTCTAGTTTATTTGTGTAGAGGTGTTTGTACTATTCTCTGATGGTAGTTTGTATTTCTGTGGGATCGGTGGTGATATCCCCTTTATCATTTTTTATTGCGTCTATTTGATTCTTCTCTCTTTTTTTCTTTATTAGTCTTGCTAGCGGTCTATCAATTTTGTTGATCCTTTCAAAAAACCAGCTCCTGGATTCGTTAATTTTTTGAAGGGTTTTTTGTGTCTCTATTTCCTTCAGTTCTGCTCTGATTTTAGTTATTTCTTGCCTTCTGCTAGCTTTTGAATGTGTTTGCTCTTGCTTTTCTAGTTCTTTTAATTGTGATGTTAGGGTGTCAATTTTGGATCTTTCCTGCTTTCTCTTGTGGGCATTTAGTGCTATAAATTTCCCTCTACACACTGCTTTGAATGTGTCCCAGAGATTCTGGTATGTTGTGTCTTTGTTCTCGTTGGTTTCAAAGAACATCTTTATTTCTGCCTTCATTTCGTTATGTATCCAGTAGTCATTCAGGAGCAGGTTGTTCAGTTTCCATGTAGTTGAGCGGTTTTGAGTGAGATTCTTAATCCTGAGTTCTAGCTTGATTGCACTGTTGTCTGAGAGATAGTTTGTTATAATCTCTGTTCTTTTACATTTGCTGAGGAGAGCTTTACTTCCAAGTATGTGGTCAATTTTGGAATAGGTGTGGTGTGGTGCTGAAAAAAATGTATATTCTGTTGATTTGGGGTGGAGAGTTCTGTAGATGTCTATTAGGTTGGCTTGGTGCAGAGCTGAGTTCAATTCCTGGGTATCCTTGTTGACTTTCTGTCTCGTTGATCTGTCTAATGTTGACAATGGGGTGTTAAAGTCTCCCATTATTAAAGTGTGGGAGTCTAAGTCTCTTTGTAGGTCACTCAGGACTTGCTTTATGAATCTGGGTGCTCCTGTATTGGGTACATATATATTTAGGATAGTTAGCTCTTCTTGTTGAATTGATCCCTTTACCATTATGTAATGGCCTTCTTTGTCTCTTTTGATTTTGTTGGTTTAAAGTCTGATTTATCAGAGACTAGGATTGCAACCCCTGCCTTTTTTTTGTTTTCCATTTGCTTGGTAGATCTTTCTCCATCCTTTTATTTTGAGCCTATGTGTGTCTCTACACGTGAGATGGGTTTCCTGAATACAGCACACTGATGGGTCTTGACTCTTTATCCAATTTGCCAGTCTGTGTCTTTTAATTGGAGCATTTAGTCCATTTACATTTACAGTTAATATTGTTATGTGTGAATTTGATCCTGTCATTATGATGTTAGCTGGTGATTTTGCTTGTTAGTTGATGCAGTTTCTTCCTATTCTCGATGGTCTTTAAATTTTGGCATGATTTTGCAGCAGCTGGTACCGGTTGTTCCTTTCCATGTTTAGCACTTCCTTCAGGAGCTCTTTTAGGGCAGGCCTGGTGGTGACAAAATCTCTCAGCATTTGCTTGTCTGTAAAGGATTTTATTTCTCCTTCACTTATGAAGCTTAGTTTGGCTGGATATGAAATTCTGGGTTGAAAATTCTTTTCTTTAAGAATGTTGACTATTGGCCCCCACTCTCTTCTGGCTTGTAGGGTTTCTGCCGAGAGATCAGCTGTTAGTCTGATGGGCTTCCCTTTGAGGGTAACCCGACCTTTCTCTCTGGCTGCCCTTAACATTTTTTCCTTCATTGTTCAACTTCGGTGAATCTGACAATTATGTGTCTTGGAGTTGCTCTTCTCAAGGAGTAACTTTGTGGCGTTCTCTGTATTTCCTGAATCTGAACGTTGGCCTGCCTTGCTAGATTGGGGAAGTTCTCCTGGATAACATCCTGCAGAGTGTTTTCCAACTTGGTTCCATTCTCCCCATCACTTTCAGGTACACCAATCCGACGTAGATTTGGTCTTTTCACATAGTCCCATATTTCTTGGAGGCTTTGCTCATTTCTTTTTATTCTTTTTTCTCTAAACTTCCCTTCTCACTTCATTTCATTCATTTCATCTTCCATCGCTGATACCCTTTCTTCCAGTTGATCGCATCGGCTCCTGAGGCTTCTGCATTCTTCACGTAGTTCTCGAGCCTTGGTTTTCAGCTCCATCAGCTCCTTTAAGCACTTCTCTGTATTGGTTATTCTACTTATACATTCTTCTAAATTTCTTTCAAAGTTTTCAACTTCTTTGCCTTTGGTTTGAATGTCCTCCCGTAGCTCAGAGTAATTTGATAGTCTGAAGCCTTCTTCTCTCAGCTCGTCAAAGTCATTCTCCATCCAGCTTTGTTCCATTGCTGGTGAGGAACTGCATTCCTTTGGAGGAGGAGAGGCGCTCTGCATTTTAGAGTTTCCAGTTTTTCTGTTCTGTTTTTTCCCCATCTTTGTGGTTTTATCTACTTTTTGTCTTTGATGATGGTGATGTACAGATGGGTTTTTGGTGTGGATGTCCTTTCTGTTTGTTAGTTTTCCTTCTAACAGACAGGACCCTCAGCTGCAGGTCTGTTGGAATACCCTGCCGTGTGAGATGTCAGTGTGCCCCTGCTGGGGGGTGCCTCCCAGTTAGGCTGCTCGGGGGTCAGGGGTCAGGGACCCACTTGAGGAGGCAGTCTGCCCATTCTCAGATCTCCAGCTGTGTGCTGGGAGAACCACAGCTCTCTTCAAAGCTGTCAGACAGGGACATTTAAGTCTGCAGAGGTTACTGCTGACTTTTTGTCTGTGCCCTGCCCCCAGAGGTGGAGCCTACAGAGGCAGGCAGGCCTCCTTGAGCTGTGGTGGGCTCCACCCAGTTCGAGCTTCGCGGCTGCTTTGTTTACCTAAGCAAGCCTGGGCAATGGCGGGCGCCCCTCCCCCAGCCTCGCTGCCGCCTTGCAGTTTGATCTCAGACTGCTGTGCTAGCAATCAGCGAGACTCCGTGGGCGTAGGACCCTCCGAGCCAGGTGCAGGATATAATCTCATGGTGTGCTGCAGTCCGAAAAGCGCAATATTCGGGTGGGAGTGACCTGATTTTCCAGGTGCGTCCGTCACCCCTTTCTTTGACTCAGAAAGGGAACTCCCTGACCCCTTGCACTTCCCAAGTGAGGCAATGCCTCGCCCTGCTTCAGCTGGCGCACGGTGTGCACACCCACTGACCTGCGCCCACTGTCTGGCACTCCCTAGTGAGATGAACCTGGTACCTCAGATGGAAATGCAGAAATCACCCGTCTTCTGCGTCGCTCACGCTGGGAGCTGTAGACCAGAGCTGTTCCTATTCGGCCATCTTGGCTCCTCCCCTCTTATGCCTGTCTTTACTGCAATCTCCGAACATAAATTGTGAAGATTTCATGGACATTTATCAGTTCCCAAATAATACTCTTATAATTTCTTATGCCTGTCTTTAATCTCTTAACTCTGTTATCTTTGTAAGCAGAGAATGTACGTCACCTCAGGACCACTATTGTACAAACTGATTGTAAAACGTGTGTTTGAACAATATGAAATGAGTGCACCTTGAAAAGAACAGAATAACAGCGATTTTAAGGAACAAGGGAAGACAACCATAAGATCTGACTGCCTGCAGGATTGGGCAGAATAGAGCCATATTTTTCTTCTTGCAGAGAGCCTATAAATGGACGTGCAAGTAGGAGAGATATTGCTAAATTCTTCTCCTAGCAAGGAATATTAAATATTAAGACCCTAGCAAAATAATTGCATTCCTGGGTGGAGGTCTATAAATTGCCGCTCTGGGAGCATCTGTCTTATGCAGTTGAGATAAGGACTGAAATACGCCCTGGTCTCCTGTAGTACTACCTCAGGCTTACTAGGATTGGGAAATTCCAGCCTGGTAAATTTTGGTCAGACCAGTTCTCTGCTCTCAAACCCTGTTTTCTGTTAAGGTGTTTATCAAAACAATATGTGCACAGCTGAACATAGACCCTCATCAGTAATTCTAATTTTGCCTTTGCCTTGTGATCTTTGCTTTGCCCTTTGCCTTGTGATCTTTATTGGCCTCAGAAACATGTGATCTTTGTGACCTACTCCCTGTTCGTACATCCCCTCCCCTTTTGAAATCCTTAATAAAAACTTGCTGGTTTTGCAGCTCAGGTGGACATCACGGACCTGCCAATATGTGATGTCACCCTCGGAGGCCCAGCTGTAAAATTCCTCTCTTTGTACTCTTTCTCTTTATTTCTCAGACTGGCCAACACTTAGGGAAAATAGAAAGAACCTGCATTGAAATATTGGGGGCATGTTCCCCCAATAAAAGATTTTATGACAAAAATGCCAAAAGCAATTGCAACAAAAGAAAAAATTGACAAAAGGGAGGCAATTAAACTAAAGAGCTTCTGCACAGCAAGATAAACTATCATCAGAGTGAACAGACAACCTACAGAATGGGAGAAAAATTTTCCAGTCTATCCATCTGAAAAAGGTCTAATATCCAGAGTCTACAAGGAACTTAAACAAATTTACAAGAAAAAAACAACCAACCCCATCAAAAAGTGGGCAAAGGACATGAACAGACACTTCTCAAAAGAAGACATTCATGCCGCCAAAAACATATGAAAAAAAGCTCAACATCACTGATCATTAGAGAAATGTAAATCAAAACCACAATTAAGATATCATCTCACACCAGTCAGAATGGCAATTACTAAAAAGTCAAGAAACAACAGATGCTGGCGAGGTTGCAGAGAAAAAGGAGCGCTTTTACATTGTTAGTGGGAGTGTAAATTAGTTCAACTACTGTGGAAGACAGTATGGCGATTCCTCAGAGATCTAGAAGCAGAAATACCATCTTTACTATTTTTAAGTGTACAATTCAGTGGTAACATTTATATTCTTTTGTTTTCTCTTCATCCCCTGCCTTCCACCTACCATTCCTGGCCTCTGGTAACCACTATTCTACTATCGTCATGAAAAACACTATTATTAGCTTCCACATATGAGTGAGAACATGCAACATTTGTCTTTCTTTGCTTGGCTAATTTCACCTAACATAATGACCCCCAGTTCCATCATGTTGCTGCAAATGACAGAATTTCGTTCTTCTATATGGCTGAATAATATTCCATCACTGTAGATTTACAATACATATTCATGCCTCATTCTGGAAATTTCCGTCATTACTCTCTTTCCTCCCAAATGTTTTTGACTGCTCTCACATGTTTTCTCTTCCAGGTTGACTATAGAATTATTTTTGCTGATTGAGTTTTTCTACCATTGGGATTTTAAGCAGAACTGGGTTAAATTTATAGATTGATTTCAGAAGAATTGACAGCCTTACAATATTAGATCTTTCCATATAGAGGCATACAATCATCTATCCATTTATTCAAGTGTTATTTCTAGAGAAGAGTGTCATAGGCTTTTAAAAATTAGAGTTTCTGCCTTTTTAATAAGTCTAATTCTAAATATGTAGTAAGTTTTTTAACTATTGTGAAGTGAATATTTTAATATGAGATGAATATTTTAGGGTTCTTATACATATTGCTAAACTCTTCAACAGGAAGGTGACAGTTTGTCTCCATTAGAAATCACTGTGTCCATTTCACTGTAACATCACAAGTACTAACTAGTTTTATTCATTGCTAATTTGAGAGGCAAAAGTATAACTTTACTTTGCCTTTTCTGCTTATGAGTGAAGCCATTATCTCTTATCTGTTAAATATGTTTTCATTTGTCTGTTTGTAAATTGCCTTTATGTTCTTGGCTTATGTATTCACCAGTATCTCAGTGTTTTCATATGCATTTCTTAGATCTTTACATGGTAAAAATATTAACCTTTTCATATTTTCTGCAAATATTTCTCCAAGTCTGTTTTTTGCCTTTTAACTTGGTTAACTTTTCCATAAATTTTAAAAAATGTTTATGCAGTCAAATCTGTTGATATTTCTTTGTGCCTTCTTCCTTTTCTTGTATGCCTGGAATATTAATCTAGCCTTTCTTTTGATACATTTTATAAATATATGTATCCAAGAGGGATTTTTCCAATGAATAATCAATTACCTCAACACTATGTATTGAGTATTTCACTCCCTGCCCCACCCCTACTGATTTGTGGTATTTAATTTATGCATATATTAAATTATTTTAAGTTTAAAAATGTGTTTCTGATCTGCATCTTCCATTCCATCAATTTTCTATTCCTAAATCACTATGGCTCAAATTGTTACACAATAACAATCACCCCCACACATTTCCAGTCATTTAGACACCAGCCAGAGACTACACTTTACATACATTATCTCATTTAACTCTTCGAACAAAAGTCCCATGAGGCAAATGTTAGAATTTTCATTTTATAGATGAAGAAAGCCCCAGGAAGAAAAAGTCTGACAGAGAACACATTCCAGCTTTGTCTTCATTCTTTTTCCCAGTTTGTTTAAGAATACACCACCTGGCTTCTCTCAATCCAATTTTTCTTACTTAGTGCCCATGCATACCTCCTACCACCTCCTAATTTGGATTCAGGGTCAGATCAGCCAAACAACTGACAAGGTGCCAACACATAACAAGTGCTAAAATGTCACTGCAACATTTCCACTCTGATTTACTCACGCAACTCCTTTCATAACTGGCAAATGCAAACTTACAAACCATTCCTGCCGGAACACGCAGAGCCCTCCAGTGGAAGTTTCAGAAACTCTCCTTGCCAACGCTGCCTATCTTCATTCAACATTTTGTGGCATGTCTGTGGAAATAATGACAGGTCATCAGCCCTGCCATCAGCCAAGCATTCACTAGTCATCCAAATACAACAGGTGATGTAGGCTAAAATTCTAAAACTGAACAACTCACAGTACAGTGCTTTTCAGTGATGATAATTCATTTTTTCCCTATTGTCTAAATTTTAAACATTTTAATCTGTACCTTGAAAAGTTATCTGGTTTAAAAAATCACAAAAGAAAACTGAAGACAGGATAAATGGAAAGTGTTTTGCTGATGTGAATGCCAGGAAAACAATAATTTTCATACATATTTTGACAAAATTTTAGAACTATATTTATATAAACTTTATGTGTAAGAAGTGTAACTAATGATAGATACAAATAGTGGAAAAAACATTAAATAAAAGAATTTCAAATAAACTTAGATGTTATGTTCAGTGTAACTACTAAATCCATTAATGGTAGCCAACCAAGAGAGATGTGCAATTATTAATTGAAAATCTACTTCATGCTCTACAATAAATATTTGAATAAATGTATAAAGAATATCAATTTGAAGATGTATCCAAATCTTACACTGTCTGGGTTGCCAGACACCATACTTTAGCTGCGCTCATACCTGAGATGTCCTCTTAACTCTTTCCCCTCTAGACTAGACAGACTTCTCCACAAAATCAAGAAATTGGGTATCATTTTTTAAAAAAACTTCCTCAGAACCCAGCACACATGATCACCATCAATTAATGTTTTCTGAGTAAACAAACGCTGCATCCCTCCTCACTCCTACCTAACCCCAATTTAGCTCCTCTTCAGAAAGACCAGTTCTTCCACCCCTTTGACTGTGTTCTCCATCTTATGGAAGATAATTACACAGAAAACAAAAGATTCACCCTAGGTGAGCTATGCACATGGGTTCCGATATCTGTGTCTAATTTCATACCTCTTTCTGCTTCCAAACCCAAAATGGACATTCAGGTCCCAGGAAGCAAGGCCCACACTTCCTTATATGAAATTCTTTTTATTTAACCTTCATTTTTTATTTTAGTAAAATATGCATAACATAAAATGTATCATTTAACCATTTTAAGGGTACAGTTCAGTAGGATTAAGTATATTCACTTTTTTGTGCAACCTCACTACTATCGTTCTCCAGAACTTCTTCATGTGCACTTTTTAAAATTATTATTGTACTTTAAGTTCTAGGGTACATGTGCACAACGTGCAGGTTTGTTATATATGTATACATGTGCCATGTTGGTTTGCTGCACCCATTAACTCATCATTTACATTAGGTATATCTCCTAATGTCATCCCTCCCCCATCCCCCAACCCCACGAGAGGCCCCGGTGTGTGATGTTCCCCGCCCTGTGTCCAAGTGTTCTCATTGTTCATTTCTCACATATGAGTGAGAACATGTAGTGCTTGGTTTTCTGTCCTTGCGATAGTTTACTGAGAATGACGGTTTCCAGCTTCATCCATGTCCTTACAAAGGACATGAACTCATCATTTTTTATGGCTGCATAGTATTCCATGGTGTAAATGTGCCACATTTTCTTAATCCAGTCTATCACTGATGGACATTTGGGTTGGTTCCAAGTCTTTGGTATTGTGAATAGTGCCACAATAAACATACGTGTGCATGTGTCTTTATAGCAGCATGATTTATAGTCCTTGGGGTATATACCCAGTAATGGGATGGCTGGGTCAAATGGTATTTCTAGTTCTAGATCCTTGAGGAATCGCCATACTGTCTTCCACAATGGTTGAACTAGTTTACAGTCCCACCAACAGTGTAAAAGTGTTCCTATTTCTCCACATCCTTTCCAGCGCCTGTTGTTTCCTAACTTTTTAATGATCGCCATTCTAACTGGTGTGAGATGGTATCTCATTGTGGTTTTGATTTGCATTTCTCTGATGGCCAGTGATGATGAACATTTTTTCACGTGCTGTTGGCTGCATAAATGTCTTCTTTTGAAAAGTGTCCATTCATATGCTTTGCCCACTTTTTGATGGGGTTAATTTTTTTCTTGTAACTTTGTTTAAGTTCTTTGTAGATTCTGGACATTAGCCCTTTGTCAGATGGGTAGATTGCAAAAATTTTCTCCCATTCTGTAGGTTGCCTGTTCACTCTGATGGTAGTTTCTTTTGCTGTGCAGAAGCTCTTCAGTTTAATTAGATCCCATTTGTCTATTTTGGCTTTTGTTGCCATTGCTTTTGGTGTTTCAGTCATGAAGTCCTTGCCCATGCCTATATCTTGAATGCTATTGCCTAGGTTTTCTTCTAGGGTTTTTATGGTTTTAGGCCTAATATTTAAGTCTTTAATCCATCTTGAATTAATTTTTGTATAAAGTGTAAGGAAGGGATCCAGTTTCAGCTTTCTACATATGGCTAGCCAGTTTTCTCAGCACCATTTATTAAATAGGGAATCCTTTCCCCATTTCCTGTTTTTGTCAGGTTTATCAAAGATCAGATGGTTGTAGACGTGTGGTGTTATTTCTGGGCCTCTGTTGTGTTCCATTGGTCCATATCTTTGTTTTGGTACCAGTACCATGCTGTTTTGGTTACTGCAGCCGTGTAGTATAGTTTGAAGTCAGGTAGCATGATGCTTCCAGGTTTGTTCCTTTTGCTTAGGATTCTCTTGGCAATGCAGGCTCTTTTTTGGTTCCATATGAACTTTAAAGTAGTTTTTTCCAATTCTGTGAAGAAAGTCATTGGTAGCTGATAGGGGCATTGAATCTGTAGATTACCTTGGACAGTATGGCCATTTTCACAATATTGATTCTTCCTATCCATGAGCATGGAATGTTCTTCCATTTGCTTCTGTCCTCTTTTATTTTGTTGAGCAGTGGTTTGTAGCTCTCCTTGAAGAGGTCCTTCACAACCTTTGTAAGTTGGATTCCTAGGTATTTGATCCTCTTTGTAGCAGTTGTGATTTGGAGTTCACTTATGATTTGGCTCTCTGTTTGTCTGTTATTGGTGTATAAGAATGCTTATGATTTTTGCACATTGATTTTGTATCCTGAGACTTTGCTGAAGTTGCTTATCAGCTTAAGGAGATTTTGGGCTGAGATGAAGGGGTTTTCTAAATATATAATCATGTCCTCTGCAAACAGGAAGACTTTTACTTCCTCTTTTCCCAATTGAATACACTTTATTTCTTTCTCCTGCCTGACTGCCCTAGCAAAGAACTTTCAACACTATGTTCAATAGGAGTGGTGAGAGAGGGCATCCATGTCTTGTGCCAGTTTTCAAAGGGAATACTTCCAGTTTTTGCCCATTCAGAATGATACTGGCTGTGGGTTTATCATAAATAGCTCTTATCTCTTATTATTTTGAGATACGTTCCATCAGTACCTAGCTTATTGAGTTTTTAGCATGAAAGGATGTTGAATTTTGTCAAAGGCCTTTTCTGCATCTATTGAGAAAATCATGTGGTTTTTGTCTTTGATTCTGTTTATGTGATGGATTACATTTATTGACTTGCATATGTTGAACCAGCCTTGCATCCCAGGGATGAAGCCAACTTGATCTTGGTGGATAAGCTTTTTGATGTGCTGCTGGATTCAGTTTGCCAGTATTTTATTGAGGATTTTTGCATCAATGTTCATCAGGGATATTGGTCTAAAATTCTTTTTTTGTTGTGTCTCTACCAGGCTTTGGAATCAGGATGATGCTGGCCTCATAAAATGAGTTAGGGTGGATTCCCTCTTTTTCTATTGATTGGAATAGTTTCAGAAGGAATGGTACCAGCTCCTCTTTGTACTTCGGGTAGAATTCAGCTGTGAATCTGTCTGGTCCTGGACTTTTTTTGGTTGGTAGGCTATTAATTATTGCCTCAATTTCAGAGCCTGTTATTGGTCTATTCAGAGATTCAACTTCTTCCTGGTTTAGTCTTGGGAAGGTGTATGTGTCCAGAAATTTATCCATTTCTTCTAGATTTTGTAGTTCATTTGTGTAGAGGTGTTTATAGTATTCTCTGATGGTGGTTTGTATTTCTGTGAGATCAGTGGTGATATCCCCTTTATTATTTTTTATTACATCTATTTGATTCTTCTCTCTTCTTATTAGTCTTGCTAGCGGTCTATCAATTTTATTGATCTTTTCAAAAAAACAGCTCCTGGATTCACTGATTTTTTTGAAGGGTTTTTTGTGTCTCTATCTCCTTCAGTTCTGCTCTGATTTTAGTTATTTCTTGCCTTCTGCTAGCTTTTGAATGTGTTTGCTCTTGCTTCTCTAGTTCTTTTCATTGTGATGTTAGGGTGTCAATTTTAGATCTTTCCTGCTTTCTCTTGTGGGCACTTAGTGCTATAAATTTCCCTTTACACACTGCTTTAAATGTGTCCCAGAGATTCTGGTACGTTGTGTCTTTGTTCTCATTGGTTTCAAAGAACATCTTTATTTCTGCCTTCATTTCATGATTTATCCAGTAGTCATTCAGGAGCAGGTTGTTCAGTTTCCATGTACTTGTGTGGTTTTGAGTGAGTTTCTTAATCTTGAATTCTAATTTGATTGCACTGTGGTCAGAGAGTTTGTTGTGATTTCTGTCCTTTTACATTTGCTGAGGAGTGCTTTACTTCCAACTATGTGGTCAATTTTGGAATAAGTGCAATGTGGTGCTGAGAAGAATGTATATTCTGTTGACTTGGGGTGGGAGAGTTCTGTAGATGTCTATTAGGTCCATTTGGTGCAGAGCTGAGTTCAATTCCTGGATATCCTTGTTAACCTTCTGTCTTGTTGATCTGTCTAATGTTGACAGTGGGGTGTTAAAGTCTCCCATTATTAAAGTGTGGGAGTCTAAGTCTCTTTGTAGATCTCTCAGGACTTGCTTTATGAATCTGGGTGCTCCTGTATTGGGTGCATATATATTTAGGATAGTTAGCTCTTCTTGTTGAATTGATCCCTTTACCATTATGTAATGGCCTTCTTTGTCTCTTTTGATCTTTGTTGGTTTAAAGTCTGTCTTATCAGAGACTAGAATTGCAACCCCTGCTTGTTTTTTGCTTTCCATTTGCTTGGTAGATCTTCCTCCATCCCTTTATTTTGAGCCCATGTGTGTCTCTGCCCATGAGATGGGTCACCTGAATACAGCACACTGATGGGTCTTGACTCTTTATTCAATTTGCCAGTCTGTGTCCTTTAATTGGGGCATTTAGCTCATTTACATTTAAGGTTAATGTTATGTGTGAATTTGATTCTGTCATTATGATGTTAGCTGGTGATTTTGCCCGTTAATTGATGCAGTTTCTTCCTAGCATTGATGGTCTTTACAATTTGGCATGTTTCTGCAGTGGCTAGTACCGGTTTTTCCTTTCCACGTTTAGTGTTTCCTTCAGGAGCTCTTGTTAGGCAGGCCTGGTGGTGACAAAATCTCTCAGCATTTGCTTGTCTGTAAAGGATTTTATTTCTCCTTCACTTATGAAGCTTAGTTTGGCTAGATATGAAATTCTGGGTTGAAAATTCTTTTCTTTAAGAATGTTGAATATTGGCCCCCACTCTCTTCTGGCTTGTAGAGTTTCTGCTGAGAGATCCACTGTTAGTCTGATGGGCTTCCCTTTGTGGGTAACCCGACCTTTCTCTCTGGCTGCCCTTAACATTTTTTCTTTCATTTCAACCTTGGTGAATCTGACAATTATGTGTCTTGGAGTTGCTCTTCTGGAGGAGTATCTTTGTGGTGTTCTCTGTATTTCCTGAATTTGAATTTTGGACTGCCTTGCTAGGTTGGGGAAGTTCTCCTGGATAATATCTTGAAGAGTGTTTTCCAGCTTCGTTCCATTTTCCACATCACTTTCAGGTACACCAATCAAATGTAGATTTTGTCTTTTCACATAGTCCCATATTTCTTGAAGGCTTTGTTCGTTTCTTTTTACTCTTTTTTCTCTAAACTTCTCTTCTTGCTTTATTTCATTAATTTGATCTTCAATCACTAATACTCTTTCTTCCACTTGATCAAATCGGCTACTGAAGCTTGTGCATGCGTCACGTAGTTCTTGTGTCACGGTTTTCAGCTCCATCAGGTCATTTAAAGTCTTCTCTACACTGTTTATTCTAGTTAGCCATTTGTCTAATCTTTTTTCAAGGTTTTTAGCTTCCTTGCAATGGGTTCAAACACCCTCCTTTAGCTCAGAGAAGTTTGTTATTACCGACTTTCTGAAGCCTACTTCTGTCAACTCGTCAAAGTCATTCTCTGTCCAGCTTTGTTCTGTTGCTGGCGAGGAGCTGCAATCCTTTGGAGGAGAAGAGGAGCTCTGGTTTTTAGAATTTTCAGCTTTTCTCCTCTGGTTTCTCCCCATCTTTGTGGTTTTATCTACCTCTGGTCTTTGATGATGGTGACCTACAGATGGGGTTTTGGTGTGGATGTCCTTTTTGTTGATGTTGATGCTATTCCTTTCTGTTGTTAGTTTTCCTTCTGTCAGGTCCCTCAGCTGCAGGTCTGTTAGAGTTTGCCGGAAGTCCACTCCAGACCGTTTGCCTGGGTGTCACCAGTGGAGGCTGCAGAAGGGCAAATATTGCAGAACAGCAAATATTGCTGCCCGATCCTTCCTCTGGAAGCTTCGTCTCAGAGGGCCACCTGGCTGTATGAGGTGTCAGTCAGCCCTACTGGGAGGTGTCTCCAAGTTAGGCTACCTGGGGGTCAGGGACCCACTTGACGAGGCAGTCTGTCCATTCTCAGAGCTCAAACACCATGATGGGAGAACCACTGCTCTCTTCAGAGCTGTCAGACAGGGACGTTTAAGTCTGCAGAAGTTTCTGCTGCCTTTTGTTCAGCTATGCCCTGCCCCCAGAGGTGGAGTGCACAGAGGCAGGCGGGCCTCGTTGGCTTCCTGGCCGCTGTGTTTACCTACTCTAGCCTCAGCAATGGTGGACGCCCCTCCTCCAGCCAGGCTTGCCGCCTTGCAGTTCGATCTTGGACTGCTGCGCTAGCAGTGAGCAAGGCTCCGTGGGCATGGGACTCACTGAGCCAGGCACGGGATATAATCTCCTGGTGTGCCATTTGCTAAGACCTCTGGAAAAGTGCAGTATCTAGGTTGCAGTGTCCCGATTTTCCCGGTACAGTCTGTCATGGCTTCCCTTGTCTAGGAAAGGGAAATCCCCTGACCCCTTGCACTTCCCAGGTGAGGCGATGCCCTGCCCTGCTTCGGCTCACCCTCTGTGGGCTGCTCCCACTGTCCAACCAGTTCCAATGAGATGAACCAGGTACCTCAGTTGGAAAAGCAGAAATCACCCATCTTCTGTGTCGATCATGCTGGAAGCTGTAGACCAGAGCTGTTCCTATTCAGCCATCTTGAAATGAACCTACTTATATGAAATTCTAATGCAAACACAATAAGAAATTGACTCACTGGCCAACATAAACTCAGTATGCCCCATCCAATATCTCATTTTGGAGAATGCTGAGATTTTAATGTGCTGCGTCTTGCTTTCACTTACTGCCATGCATCCATTTTAGAAAACAGAAAGAAACTAGAAACCATGACTTCTTTCCACCTTTAAAAAGCATTTCATGAAGAAAACTAAGCCACAAATTCAGTAATTCAGTAGTTCTGGGTGGGAAGTGGGGAAAAGAACAAGTTTGGAGGGAGTACACCCAGGAGTTGTCAGCACTGTATTGAACAGGAGTGTTCATTCAATGAAAGCTTGCTTAGTGTCATATCAACCTACTCCCATTTTTAACAGTAGTCTAGTTTTCATCCAGCCTCCACCCCTCCCTGACGTAGCCCACATGCTTTGGCAGAAGATAACTCCATCTCCCCCACCCCCTTTGCCTCATTATTTGTTCAAGTAACCTAGATTCATGCCAACCAACACTTGAAATGCTGTCCCATCACCATGGACAACCTATGTCATCAAAGAAGCAGAAGGAGGGGTCTGTGATTCTACTTTGTCTAGGAAGTTTTTCTCATTCTAATCCATGGCTTGCAATACATCTTAGTGTCATTCACCTTGTTTTGATTTTTCCACTCAGTGATATACAGGAGTGCTGTAGTGCCACATCAGTGCATATGCAGTGGGATATTCGGCTCTGTGGCATTGCCCCTTCTTTAGGTGGCATGTTACAAAAATGAGCCAAAGATGATGTCTGTGTATTGACTCTTAGGTGGTTTATTTCTTCACTGCTGGCTGAGACTTGTGAGCTAAAAAGCCTGCTTCCACCAAATTCAAATTTTTACACATCTAATTATTTTTAAATAAAAATACCCTGAAGAAGAAGATTTTCAGCAATTTAGACCTTCCTGCTTTGCGTGTCCTGTAAATATTCACCCTGCATCTGCCAACCACAAACAAGATAGCCTTGTGGTTGTAAGACTCCAGGCCACTACTGTACCTTGGAGACTCTGACCCAGAGATTCCCCACCATACAGCTAGACAATATCATCTAGACACAAAAGTCCCTCTCCGATTCCCTTCTCTTCTGGGAGTTCTCTTGCCCTCCTCCAGGAAAGGGATTTCTTTGCCTGCAAACCTGACCACTTCCCTTAATAAAGTTTGTAGGCACTACTGCCACTTATAGTCATATCCTTTTCCTTGACCATTCCCCAAATCCCTCAAACCACCTACATAACCACACTCCAATATCACTTTGAGGAACTATGCCTTCAAATCTCCTTCAGTTTATGAGCTTTGGGTGGGGCTGCACACCAAGATCTGGTCAAGCAGTATACCAAATCCTCCAGTTATAGCTTTAGGGAAGGGCATCTGACCCAAGTTGATCCAACCAAAGTGAATCCTAGGCCTCATGCTGAGCCAACTGGAGGGAATGTTCCCTGTCTCCCAAAAGCCTGTAATGGGAAGAGCAGTAGCAGCTACCTTGCCTATCAAGTCTGGAGGATCAAACAAAGTCTCTAGGACTCACTTTTGCTCCATCTCTTAGAACTGCTTTTCTCTGTGTTGGCCTCATCCTCAAGTGGGCTAAAGAGATAGAGGAAACCAAGAAGAATAAAATGATTGTTTTTTAAAAGGCAAGCAGGGGAAGATAAGATCCAGAAGACAGGTGGAGAGGTGGATCTGATGAAGAAAGGAAGGAAGGTACCACGATGCTGATGTAGGTAGGACAATAAATTCAGAGGAAAGATGTCGGTACAGGCAAATTATTAGAGGATTTATCTCTCAGGGAGCTAAGAGGAACAAATACAAGAGAAAAGACATTCATCTACTAATAGAGGTCAACCAAGTAAATAATCCGGACACATCTATTGGTCCACAAGCCTCACCCTTTCAGAGAACTTCCAATCATGTTTTTAGGACCTTTTTCTTAAATAATGAAGACAGCCAAAATCATCAGAGAGAGTACAAGACCAAAAACAAGAGAAAAAAAGGAAAGAGAGAGAGAGAGAGAGATAGAGACAGAGAGAGAGACCAAAATAAGAAACGAAACAACACAGAGGGCAGAAGAACAACAAAATTATAATAAGCAGCCTTAGAAAGTGAAATAAAATAAGAAGAGCCCATAAAAAGAAACAATATCACAAAAACAGTTCTTGAAAATGAAAAACGTGATCACAGAAATTCATTAAAATCAACAGAAGTCTTGTAGTTTAAGTTGAGAAAGTCTCCCAGAAAGTAGAGAGAAAAGAAAAATTGATGGATAATAGGAGATAAATGAATTTTTAAAAAGGCCCCAAAGTTTTAACATCTGAAGAATAAAAATTCTCTAGAAAAAGAACAAAGAAAATGGGGATGAGGGAGCACCAGAGTAATATTTTTTAAAATTTTTCCAAAAATTGAATAAAGTACCCACATTCAAAACAAAATGGATTAAAACTAAATTCACCCCAAGACAATCACTGTGAAATTTCAGATCACTAAGATCTGACAGAAGAGTCTACAAGCTTCCAAAGTGGGGATGGGGGAGAAGGGGCGTGTCAGTTTTCACATGCAAAGGATGAATGAAAGGATTTCTGCTTCTTCTAACAGCAGGCTAGGTGTTTTGTACTAAACCTTCCTCTGGGGACAATTATAAAAGCTAGACAAAATATTTTAAAATATATTTTTGAAGGCACCACAGAGCTAATAAAAAAAATTGCCAGGACAGGACATTTCACTTAACATAATGTCCTCCATGTGCATCCATGTTGTCACAAATGACAGGACTTCTTACTTTTTAAGGCTGAATAGCATTCTGTGTGGTATATATACTATATTTTCTTTTTAATTTTTATGGGTACATGGTAGGTGTACATATTTATAAGTACATGAGATATTTTGATATAGGCAGGCAATGTGTGCAAATTACATCCTGAAAAATGGGAAGGGCATCTGACCCAAGTTGATCCAACCAGAGTGAATCCTAGGCCTCATGCTGAGCCAACTGGAGGGAATGTTCCCTGTTTTCCAAGAGCCTGTAATGGGAACAGCAGTAGCAGCCACCTTGCCTATCAGCCTATCAGCCGCCTTGCCATCCCCTCCAGCATTTGTCCTTTGTGTCACAAACAATCCAATTATAGCAATTATACTATTTCAGTTATTTCAAAATGTACAAACCATTATTAATTATAGTTACTCTGCTGTGCTATCAAATACTAGTTCTTATTCACTCTTTCCATGGTTTTTTTTTTTGTACCCATTATCCATCCGCACCTCTCCATCTCAGCCCCCAACTGTCCTTCCCAGCCTCTGCTCTTCTACTCACTATGGTTATGAGGTCAATTGTTTTGATTTTTAGATCCCACAAATAAGTGAGAACACATGATGTTTGACTTCCTGTGCCTGGCTTATTCACTCAATATAAGGACCTCCAGTTCCATCCATGTTTTTGCAAATGACTGACTCTCATTTTTTATGGCTGAATAGTACTCCATTGTGTATATGCACCACATTTTCTTTATCCATTTGTCTGTTGATGGACACTTAGGTTGCCTCCCAAAGCTTGGCTATTGTGCACAGTGCTGCAACGAACATGGGAGAGCAGATCTCTCTTTGATATATTGATTTTCTTTCATTTTGATATATACGTAGCAGCGAGACTGCTGGATCATAGGATAGCTCTATTTCTACTTTATTGAGGAACCTCCAAGCTGTTCTCCATAGTGGCTGTACTAATTTACATTTCTACCAATGGTGTATAAGGGTTCCCTTTTCTCCACAACTCAATGATGTTGAGTACCTTTTCATATGTCTGTTTGCCATTTGTATGTCTTCTTTTTTTTTTTATCATTATTATACTTTAAGTTTTAGGGTACATGTGCACAATATGCAGGTTAGTTACATATGTATACATGTGCCATTCTGGTGCGCTGCACCCACTAACTCATCTTCTAGCATTAGGTATATCTCCCAATGCTATCCCTCCCCTCTCCCCCGGCCCCACAACAGTCCCCAGAGTGTGATGTTCCCCTTCCTGTGTCCATGTGTTCTCATAGTTCAATTCCCACCTATGAGTGAGAACATGCGGTGTTTGGTTTTTTGTTCTTGCAATAGTTTACTGAGAATGATGGTTTCCAATTTCATCCATGTCCCTACAAAGGACATGAACTCATCATTTTTTAAGGCTGCATAGTATTCCATGGTGTATATCTGCCACATTTTCTTAATCCAGTCTATCATTGTTGGACATTTGGGTTGGTTCCAAGTCCTTGCTATTGTGAATAATGCCGCAATAAACATACGTGTGCATGTGTCTTTATAGAAGCATGATTTATAGTCCTTTGGGTATATACCCAGTAATGGGATGGCTGGGTCAAATACTATGTCTAGTTCTAGATCCCTGAGGAATCGTCACACTGACTTCCACAATGGTTGAACTAGATTACAGTCCCACCAACAGTGTAAAAGTGTTCCTATTTCTCCACATCCTCTCCAGCACCTATTGCTTCCTGACTTTTTAATGATTGCCATTCTAACTGGTGTGAAATGGTATCTCATTGTGGTTTTGATTTGCATTTCTCTGATGGCCAGTGATGGTGAGCATTTTTTCATGTGTTTTTTGGCTGCATAAATGTCTTCTTTTGAGAAGTGTCTGTTCACGTCCTTTGCCCACTTTTTGATGGGGTTGTTTGTTTTTTTCTTGTAAATTTGTTTGAGTTCATTGTAGATTCTGGATATTAGCCCGTTGTCAGATGAGTAGGTTGTGAAAATTTTCTCCCATTTTGTAGGTTGCCTGTTCACTCTGATGGTAGTTTCTTTTGCTGTGCAGAAGCTCTTTAGTTTAATTAGATCCCATTTATCCATTTTGGCTTTTGTTGCCATTGCTTTTGGTGTTTTAGACATGAAGTCCTTGCCCATGCCTATGTCCTGAATGGTAATGCCTAGGTTTTCTTCTAGGGTTTTCATGGTTTTAGATCTAACGAAGCCTCAGGAGCCGATGCGATCAACTGGAAGAAAGGGTATCAGTGATGGAAGATGAAATGAATGAAATGAAGCGAGAAGGGAAGTTTAGAGAAAAAAGAATAAAAAGAAACGAGCAAAGCCTCCAAGAAATATGGGACTATGTGAAAAGACAAAATCTACATCTCACTGATGTACCTGAAAGTGACGGGGAGAATGGAACCAAGTTGGAAAACACTCTGCAGGATATTATCCAGGAGAACTTCCCCAATCTAGCAAGGCAGGCCAACATTCAGATTCAGGAAATACAGACAACACCACAAAGATACTCCTCGAGAAGAGCAACTCCAAAATACATAATTGTCAGATTCACCAAAGTTGAAATGAAGGAAAAAAATGTTAAGGGCAGCCAGAGAGAAAGGTCGGGTTACCCACAAAGGGAAGCCCATCAGATTAACAGCAGATCTCTCGGCAGAAACTCTACCAGCCAGAAGAGAGTGGGGGCCAATATTCAACATTCTTAAGGAAAAGAATTTTCAACCCAGAATTTCATATCCAGCCAAACTAAGCTTCATAAGTGAAGGAGAAATAAAATACTTTACAGACAAGCAAATGCTGAGAGATTTTGTCGCCACCAGGCCTGCACTAAAAGAGTTCCTGAAGGAAGTGCTAAACATGGAAAGGAACAACCGGTACCAGCTGCTGCAAAATCATGCCAAAATGTAAAGACCATTGAGACTAGGAAGAAACCGCATCAACTAACGTGCAAAATCACCAGCTAACATCATAATGACAAGATCAAATTCACACATAACAATATTAACTTTAAATGTAAATGGACTAAATGCTCCAATTAAAAGACACAGACTGGCAAATTGGATAAAGAGTCAAGACCCATCGGTGTGCTGTATTCAGGAAACCCATCTCACGGGCAGAGACACACATAGACTCAAAATAAAAGGATGGAGGAAGATGTACCAAGCAAATGGAAAACAAAAAAAGGCAGGGGTTGCAATCCTAGTCTCTGATAAAACAGACTTTAAACCAACAAAGATCAAAAGAGACAAAGAAGGCCATTACATAATGGTAAAGGGATCAATTCAACAAGAAGAGCTAACTATCCTAAATATATATGCACCCAATACAGGAGCACCCAAATTCATACAGCAAGTCCTGAGTGATCTACAAAGAGACTTAGACTCCCACACATTAATAATAGGAGACTTTAACACCCCACTGTCAACATCAGACAGATCAACGAGACAGAAAGTCAACAAGGATACCCAGGAATTGAACTCAGCTCTGCACCAAGCAGACCTAATAGACATCTACAGAACTCTCCACCCCAAATCAACAGAATATACATTTTTTTCAGCACCACACCACACCTATTCCAAAATTGACCACATACTTGGAAGTAAAGCACTCCTCAGCAAATGTAAAAGAACAGAAATTATAACAAACTATCTCTCAGACCACAGTGCAATCAAACTAGAACTCATGATTAAGAATCTCACTCAAAACCACTCAACCATATGGAAACTGAACAACCTGCTCCTGAATGACTACTGGGTACATAATGAAATGAAGGCAGAAATAAAGATGTTCTTTGAAACCAACGAGAACAAAGACACAACATACCAGAATCTCTGGGACACATTCAAAGCAGTGTGTAGAGGGAAATTTATAGCACTAAATGCCCACAAGAGAAAGCAGGAAAGATCCAAAATTGACACCCTAACATCACAATTAAAAGAACTAGAAAAGCAAGAGCAAACACTTTCAAAAGCTAGCAGAAGGCAAGAAATAACTAAAATCAGAGCAGAACTGAAGGAAATAGAGACACAAAAAACCCTTCAAAAAATTAACGAATCCAGGAGCAGGTTTTTTGAAAGGATCAACAAAATTGATAGCCTGCTAGCAAGACTAATAAAGAAAAAAAGAGATAAGAATCAAATAGATGCAATAAAAAATGATAAAGGGGATATCACCACCAATCCCACAGAAATACAAACTACCATCAGAGAATACTACAAACACCTCTACGCAAATAAACTAGAAAATCTAGAAGAAATGGATAAATTCCTCGACACATACACTCTCCCAAGACTAAACCAGGAAGAAGTTGAATCTCTGAATAGACCAATAACGGGAGCTGAAATTGTGGCAATAATCAATAGCTTACCAACCAAAAAGAGTCCAGGACCAGATGGATTCACAGCCGAATTCTACCAGAGGTACAAGGAGGAACAGGTACCATTCCTTCTGAAACTATTCCAATCAATAGAAAAAGAGGGAATCCTCCCTAACTCATTTTATGAGGCCAGCATCATCCTGATACCAAAGCCGGGCAGAGACACAACCAAAAGAGAGAATTTTAGACCAATATCCTTGATGAACATTGATGCAAAAATCCTCAATAAAATACTGGCAAACCGAATCCAGCAGCACATCAAAAAGCTTATCCACCATGATCAAGTGGGCTTCATCCCTGGGATGCAAGGCTGGTTCAATATATGCAAATCAATAAATGTAATCCAGCATATAAACAGAACCAAAGACAAAAACCACATGATTATCTCAATAGATGCAGAAAAGGCCTTTGACAAAATTCAACAACCTTTCATGCTAAAAACTCTCAATAAATTAGGTATTGGTGGGACGTATTTCAAAATAATAAGAGCTATCTATGACAAACCCACAGCCAATATCATACTGAATGGGCAAAAGCTGGAAGCATTCCCTTTGAAAACTGGCACAAGACAGGGATGCCCTCTCTCACCACTCCTATTCAACAGTGTTGGAAGTTCTGGCCAGGGCAATTAGGCAGGAGAAGGAAATAAAGGGTATTCAATTAGGAAAAGAGGAAGTCAAATTGTCCCTGTTTGCAGACAACATCATTGTATATCTAGAAAACCCCATTGTGTCAGCCCAAAATCTCCTTAAGCTGATAAGCAACTTCAGCAAAGTCTCAGGATACAAAATCAATGTACAAAAATCACAAGCATTCTTATACACCAACAACAGACAAACAGAGAGCCAAATCATGAGTGAACTCCCATTCACAATTGCTTCAAAGAGAATAAAATACCTAGGAATCCAACTTACAAGGGATGTGAAGGACCTCTTCAAGGAGAACTACAAACCACTGCTCAAGGAAATAAAAGAGGATACAAACAAATGGAAGAACATTCCATGCTCATGGGTAGGAAGAATCAATATCGTGAAAATGGCCATACTGCCCAAGGTAATTTATAGATTCAATGCCATCCCCATCAAGCTACCAATGACTTTCTTCACAGAATTGGAAAAAACTACTTTAAAGTTCATATGGAACCAAAAAAGAGCCCGCATCACCAAGTCAATCCTAAGCCAAAAGAACAAAGCTGGAGGCATCACACTACCTGACTTCCAACTATACTGCAAGGCTACAGTAACCAAGACAGCATGGTACTGGTACCAAAACAGAGATATAGATCAATGGAACAGAACAGAGCCCTCAGAAATAACACCGCATATCTACAACTATCTGATCTTTGACAAACCTGAGAAAACCAAGCAATGGGGAAAGGATTCCCTACTTAATAAATGGTGCTGGGAAAACTGGCTAGCCATATGTAGAAAGCTGAAACTGGATCCCTTCCTTACACCTTATACAAAAATCAATTCAAGATGGATTGTATGTCTTCTTGTGAGAAATATCTATTCTAATCTTTTGCCCATTTTTTAATCAGGATTAGATTTTTTTCCTATAGAGTTGCTGAGCTCCTCATATATTCTGGTTATTAATCCTTTGCCAGATGGGTAGTTTGCAAATATTTTCTCCCATTCTGTGGGCTGTCTCTTCACTTTGTTGATTGCTTCCTCTGCTGTGTAGAAGCTTTTTAACTTGATGTGATCTCATTTGTCCATTTTTGCTTTGGTTGCCTCTGCTTGTGGAATATTACTTAAAACATTTTTGCACAGACCAATGTCCTGAAGAGTTACCCCAATGTTTTGTTTTAGTAGTTTCATAGTTTGAGGTCTTCGATTTAAGTCTTTAATCCATTTTGATTTGATTTTTATTTATGATGAGAGACAGGGGTCTAGTTTTATTCTTCTGACTATGGATATCCAGTTTTCCCAACACCATTTGTTAAAGAGACTGTCTTTTCCCCAGTGTATATCTTGCATCTTTGTCAAAAATGAGTTCACTGTAGGAGTGTTTGTTTCTGAGTTCTCTATTATGTTCCATTGGTTTATATGTCTGTTTCTATGCCAGTACCATGCTGTTTTGGTTACTATAGCTCTGTAGTATAATTTGAAGTAAGGTAACATAATTCTTCCAGTTTTGTTCTTTTTGCTTCAGGATAGCTTTGGCTAATCTGGGTCTTTTGTGATTTCATATAAATTTTAGGATTTTTTTCTATTTCTGTGAAGAATGTCATTGGTATTTTGATAAGGATTGCATTGAATCTGTAGGTCACTTTGGGTAGTATGGGCATTTTACCAATATCGATTTTTCCAATCCATAAACATGCAATATCTTTCCATTTCTGGTGTCCTGTTCAATTTCTTTTATCAGTGTTTTACAGTTTTTCATTGTAGAGATCTTTTTCTTGGGTTAATTCCTAGGTATTTTTATTTGTGGCTACTGTATAGGGGATTACATTTTTTATTTCCTTTTCAGATTGTTCACTGTTAGCATATAGATATGCTACTTTTTTTATGTTGATGCTGTATCCTGCAACTTTACTGAATTTGCTTATAAGTTCTTTTTTTTTTTTTGAAGGGTATATCTAGGTTAATTTTAATAAGTGTTGCCAGGTTGCTTTCCAAAAATGCCATAACAATTTATGTTTCAGCAACAGTGAATTAGAGAATGCTTTCCCTGAATCTTTGCCCAATAGTTCTAATTGGTAGAGTCTTTAGGTTTTCCCAAATACAAAATCATATCAACAGGGGTAATCTGACTTCTTCTTTTCCAATTTGGATGTCCTTTTATATGTTTCTCTTGTCTAACTGTTCTAGCTAGGACTTCCAGTACTATGTTGAATAACAATAGTGAAAGTGGACATTCTCGCTGTATTCTGGATCTTAGAGGAAAGGCTTTCAGTTTTTCCTAATTCAGTATGATACTATTCATAGCTGTGGATCTGTCATATACATGGCTTTCATTATGTTGAGGTATTCTCCTTCTATATCCAGGTTTTTGAGGGTTTTTATCATAAAGGGATGTTGGATTTTATCAAATGATTTTTCAGCATCAATTGAACTGTTCATATGGCATTCTGTTGATATGATGCATCACATTGATTTTTAAATTTTATTATTTTAAATTTCTTGTGGGTACATGATAGGTATATATTTATAGGGTACATGAGTTGTTTTGATACAGGCGTGCAAAGTGAAATAAGCACATCATGGAAAATAGGGTGTCCATCACCTCAAGCACTTATGTTTCAAGTTACAAACAATCCAATTATATTGTTATTTTAAAATATACCATTAAGTTATTATTGACTATAGTCACCCCACTGTGCTATCAAATAGTGGTTCTTATTCATCCATTTTTTTTTGTACCCATTAACCATTCCCAGCTCCATGGTTATCAGATGCTGGGAAGGGTATCACATTGATTTATTTGCACATTTTGCACCATCTTTGCATCCCTGGGATAAATCTCACTTAGTTATGATGAGTAATTTTTTTAAATGTATTGTTAAATTTGATTGGCTAGCATTTTGTTGAAGATTTCTGCACCAGTATTCATCAGAGATACTGGCCTGTAGTTGTTGTTGTTGTTTTTAATGTGTCTGTGTCTGTTTTTGGTATCAGAGTAATACTGGCCTCAAAGAATGTTTGTAACATTTCCTCCTCCTCTATTTTTTGGAACAGTTTGAATAGGATTTGTATTAGTTTTTAAATATTTGCTAGAATTCAGCAGTGAAGCCATTGCGTCCTGTGCTTTTCTTTTCCTCTTTTTTGAGAAAGGTTTTGCTCTGTCACCCAGTGTGCAGTGCAGTGGTATAATCATGGTACACTGTAGCCTCAACCTAAAGAAAAGTAAAGGTTTTTATTTATAGGAGACCTTTTATTATGACTTTCATCTCATTATTATTATTGGTCTATTTGTATTTTGGATTTCTTTATGGTTTGATCTTGGTAGGTTGTATGTGTCTAGATTTTTGAATTTATTGGCATATGGTTGCTAATAGTAGTCACTAATGATCCTTCAAAGTTCCGTGGTATCAGTAGCAATGAGTCTTTCTTCATCTCCGATTTTATTTATTTGGTCTTCTCTCTTTTTTTCTTAGTCTGGCTAAAGGTTTGGCCATATTGTTTATCTTTTCACAAAACCAATGTTTTATTTCACTGATCTTTTATATTATTTTCTTCATTTCAAATTCTCTTATTTCTGCGATGATCTTTATTACCTCCCTTCTTTTACTAATTTTGGGGTAGGTTTGCTCTTGCTTTTCTTGTTCTTTAAGATGCATCATTAGGCTATTTATTTGAAGTTTTTCTTCTGTTTTGAGGTAGGCATTTATACCTATAAATTTCCCTCTTAGTATTGCTTTTGCTCTATCCCATAGGTTTTGGTATGTTGTGTTTGCATTATCATTTGTTTCAATAAATTTTTATTCCTTCTCAATGTTGTTATTGGCCCACTGGTCATTCAGGAGTGTACTGTGTAATGTCTAATGTGTTCATATAGTTCCAAAATTATTCTTATTATAGTTCCATATAGTTCACATAGTTTCCAAAATTCTTCTTATTATTGATTTCTACTTTTATTCCATTGTGGTCAGAGAAGATGCTTGATATTATTTCAATTTTTTGAATGTTTTATCATTTGTTTTGTGACCTAATATATGGACTATCATTGAGAATGATCCATGTGCTGAGGAAAAGAATGTGTATTCTGCAGCCTTTGGATGAAATGTTCTGTAAATATCTATTAGGTCTATTTGTTCCATGGTGAAGATTAAGTCCTATCATTTTTTGTTGATTGTCTGTCTGGAAGATCTGTCCAGCACTGAAAGTGGGGTATTGAAGTCTCCCACTATTATCATGTTGGCATTTCTCTCTCTCTCTCTCTCTCTCTCTCTCTCTCTTTAGCTCTAATAATGTTTGCTTTATATATCTGGGTACTACAGTGCTGCGTACATATATATTTGCAATCATTATATCCTGTTGCTGAATTGACCCCTTTACCATTATATAATGCCCTTCTTTTTCTCTTGCAGTTTTTGTCTGGACATCTATTTTGTCTAATGTAAGTATAGCTACTTCTGCTCTTTTTTGGTTTTCATTGGCATGGAATCTTTTTCCATCTATTATTTTCAGTCTGTGTGCATATTTATAGGTGAAGTGTGTTTACTGTAAGCAAGAGATCACTGGGTCTCATGTATTCATCCACTCAGCCACTCTGTCTTTTGGTTGGAGAGTTTAGTTCATTTATATTCAAAGTTATTATTAAGTAGGGACTTACTCCTGCCTTTTTGTTATTTGTTTTCTGGTTGCTTTATGGTCTTTTCTTCCCTCCTTCCTTCTTTCCTTCCTTCCTGTCTTTTGTTTTTAGTCAAGATTATTTGCTCTGGTGATATCATTTAATCTCTTGGTTTTTGTTTTTTATATATCCCTTGTATGTTTTTTGATTTGAGATTACCATGAGGCTAGCAAATACTGTCTCATAACCCATTATTTTAAACTGATGACAGCTTAACACTGAGTGCATAAACAATCAAACAAACACACAAAAAGAAATAACTAATAAAAATTCTACACCTAAACTTCATCCCCCACTTTGTAATTTTTTGTTGTTTCTCTTTATGTCTTATTGCACTGTGTTTAAAAGGTTGTTTTAGTTATTATTTTTTATTGGTTCATCATTTAGTCTTTCTATTTGAGTAGTTTACACACCACAGTTATAGTGTTTTAAGATTCTGTTTTTCCATGCACTTACTATTACCAGTCAGTTTTGTACCTTCAGATAATTTTTCCTTGCTCATTAACATCCTTTTCTTTCAGAGGGAAGACTTCCATTTAGCATTTCTTGTAGGACAGGTCTGATGTTGATGAAATTTCTCATCTTTTGCTTGTCTGAGAAGATCTTTATTTTCCTTCATGCTTGAAGGATATTTTAGCAACCATATGCAAATAAATTCAAAAATCTAGACACATACAACCTACCAAGATCAAACCATGAAGAAATCCAAAACACAAACAGACCAATAATAATAATGAGATAACTTTGAGGATTAGACACTATTTTCCACCATAAATACTCTAACAATTGTAGTAATTAGTAGCAGACAAACCTAGCATCCAGATCACCAATCAATAGCCTTTGGGAGGCAAATATTGAAACTGAAAAATTCTTTGTCCCACTTAACAGACAAAGACTCTATGATGACAAGATGCAAGATAAATACGCTCTTAAGTTTATAGTAACTATATATAAGCATTCTCCAACTGTCTCATCTTTCTAAACAATAAAAAACATGGCTAAGTACTGAGTTTAAAACTTCTCATGTCAATAATTTTTTTCACTAGAAGTTTCTCATTAAGTACTATTGAAACTTAAGGGCCATGATTTCAAGTGTAATTTTAACTAAGCCTGAATCAAAGAACTGGAAGCTTATCAGTTTATTTCCACAATACCAAAGTGAAAATTAATCCCTATTTGAACATCTTCCCTTCTCCCCTTGCTACAACAGCTCAAGAGTGCAACTGTTTCACCACATCTTGTTTACAGTCATGTATATAACACACTAGTTCCCAAACTTAGTTGTACATTCTTGCCTGTTTGCATAGGTGGTACTAATACAGCTAGTCCATGAAGCAGCATTTGGGAACCATGGGGCTTCATCACATCCTCAGTAGCCTGAAAACACTTATCTAGGGATAAGGTGAGAGCTGATTTCTCAAAGGTCCCAGAATCTCATGAGTGTCGTCTGGGGCTCTATCACCTAATCCTTGGTGCAAGAATCAGAGACTTTCAGTTTCCTGTAAAGGCAAAGTACATAATGCAGACCAACCCTCCCCATGAAAATAAAAAGCCAGATGAAATATTAAGAACATCTTAGAACATCAAAGGATAAGCTGCACACAAAGAGACATATAATGTATAATTCCATTTTTGTGAGGTGTCTAGAATAGTCAAACTCAAAGAGACAAGGTAGAATGGTGGTTGCCAGAGGCTGGGAGGAGAGGAGAAGGAGAGTTTTTGTTTAATGGGTACAGAGTTTCAATTGGGGAGGATGAAAAAGAGGTCCAGAGATAGATGCTGGTGATGGCTGCAGAACATTGTGAATGTATCAGTGCCAGTGAACTGTACACTTAAAAATGGTTAAAATGGTGTATATAATTTTTAATTTTTTTTATAGAGAGACAGGGTCTTGCTATGATGCCCAGGTTGGTCTCAAACTCCTGGCCTGAAGCAATCCTCCTGCCTTGGCCTTCCAGAAGTGCTGGGATTAAAGATGTGAGCTGCCACTGCTGGGAAAAATGGTGTATTTTATGTTATGTATGTTTTACCACAAAAACAATTTTTTGATAAAAGCATCAGAAACCTAATAGGCTAGTGAGGCCTTGCCTGGCAGAGATCAGAGTGGGGGTCAGGTTCAGAGAGGCCACTTAATAACTGAAGCCTCTGGACTTGGAGCCAATTTTTCCTAGAAGCATTTTCTGATCCAGACGAGGTCTCGAAGAGGCTGAGCTGTACTACTGGCAGGCTCATTGGCCTAGGAGGACATCAGTGGAACTCCATCACTCTGGGCTGAATTATATCATATAACCACTAAAAAAATTAAATTAGCAATTTAAAATTTTCTCACAAAGAAAATCCCAGACCTAGAAGGTTTCAATGGTGAATCTGATTAAAGAATTAAGAAATAAATCATGGTTTTCTTGTGTCTTGATTTCCCCTCAGTTCAGTTCTGATTTTTGTTATTTCTCATCTTCTGCTAGCTTTGGGGTTGATTTGTTCTTGCTTCTTTAATCTTTGACTTGTGAAGTTATGTTGTTAATTTGATATCTTTTTAACTTTTTGATGTGGGCATTTAGTGCTATGAATTTCCCTCTTAACATTGCTTTAGCTGTGTCCCAGAAATTCTGCTATGTTGTATCTTTGTTCTCATTAGTTTCAAAGACAGTTCTTGAATTCTGCCTTAATTTTATTATTTATTCAAAAGTCATTCAGGAGCATGTTGTTTAATTTCCATGTAATTGCATGGTTTTGAGTGATTTTAATAATCTTGACTTCTATTTTTATTGTGCTGTGGTCTGAGAGTATGTTTGGTATGGTTTTGGTTCTATTACATTTGTTGAGGATTATTTTATGTCTAATTATGTGGTTAATTTTCGAGTATGTGCCATGTGGCAACAAGAAGAATGTATATTCTATTGTTTTGGGGTGCAGAGTTTTGTATAGAAGTCTATCAGTTCTATTTGTTCCAGTGTTGAGTTTAGGTCCTAAATATCATTGTTAATTTTCTGCCTTGATGATCTGTCTAATACTGTCAGTGGAGTGTTGAAGAGTCCCCTTATTATTGTTCAAGAGTCTATGTCTCCTTGTAGGTCTTTAAAACTTGCTTTATAAATCTGGGTACTCCTGTGTTGTGTGCATATATATTTAGGATATTCAGATCTTCTTGTTGAATTGAACCCTTTACCATTGTGTAGTGTCCTTCTTTGTCTTTTTTGATATTTGTTGGTTTTAAATCTGTTTTGTCTGAAATTAGGATTGCAACCCCTGCTTCCTTTTTTCTATTTGCTGGGTAGATTTTCCTCCATCCTTTTATTTCAAACCTATGAGTGTTGTTTTGTGTGAGATGGGTCTCATGAAGGCAGAATACTACTGGATCTTGCTTTATCCAGCTTGCCACTCTGTGCCTTTGAAGTGGGGCATTTAGCCCATTCACCTTCAAGGTCAGTATTGATATGTATGGATTTGATCCTGTCATTGTGCTGTTAGCTGGTTATTATCTTGGCTTCTTTGTGTGGTTGTTTTACAGTGACACTGGTCTGTGTGTTTAAGTATGTTTTTGTATTAGCTGGCAGTAGTCTTTCCTTTCTATATTTAGTGCTCATTTCAAGATCTCTTGTAAGGCAGATCTGGTGGTGATGAATTCCCTCAATATTTGCTTATCTGAAAAGGAACATATTTCTCCCTCACTTAGGAAACTTAGTTTGGCTGGATATGAAATTCTTGGTTGAAGATTATTTTTCTCTAAGAATGTTGATTATAGGTCCCCAATCTCTTCTGGCTTGTAGGGTTTTAGCTGAGAGGTCTGCTGTTAGCCTAATGGGGTTCCCTTTGTAGGTAACCTTCCCTTTCTCTCTAGTTTGCTGAGAATGATGGTTTCCAGCTTCATCCATGTCCCTACAAAGGACATGAACTCATCCTTTTTTATGGCTGCATAGTATTCCATGGTGTGTATGTGCCACATTTTCTTAATCCAGTCTATCATTGTTGGACATTTGGGTTGGTTCAAAGTCTTTGCTATTGTGAGTAGTGCCGCAATAAACATATGTGTGCATGTGTCTTTATAGCAGCATGATTTATATTCCTTCAGGTATATACCCAGTAATGGGATGGCTGGATCAAATGGTATTTCTAGTTTTAGATCCCTGAGGAATTGCCACACTGTCTTCCACAATGGTTGAACTAGTTTACAGTCCCACCAACAGTGTAAAAGTGTTCCTATTTCTCCACATCCTCTCCAGCACCTGTTGTTTCCTGACTTTTTAATGATTGCCATTCTAACTGGTGTGACATGATATCTCATTGTGGTTTTAATTTGCATTTCTCTGATGGCCAGTGATGATGAACATTTTTTCATGTGTCTGTTGGCTGCATAAATGTCTTCTTTTGCGAAGTGTCTGTTCATATCCTTCGCCCACTTTTTGATGGGGTTGTTTTTTTCTTGTAAATTTGTTTGAGTTCTTTGTGGATTCTGGATATTAGCCCATTGTCAGATGAGTAGATTGCAAAAATTTTCTCCTATTCTGTAGGTTGCCTGTTCACCCTGATGGTAGTTTCTTTGGCTGTGCAGAAGCTCTTTAGTTTAATTAGATCCCAGTTGTCAATTTTGGCTTTTGTTGCCATTGCTTTTGGTGTTTTAGACATGAAGTCCATGCCCATGCCTATGTCCTGAATGGTATTGCATAGGTTTTCTTCTAGGGTTTTTATGGTTTTAGGTCTAACATTTAAATCTTTAATCCATCTTGAATTAATTTTCGTATAAGGTGTAAAGAAGGGATCCAGTTTCAGCTTTCTACATATGGCTAGCCAGTTTTCCCAGCACCATTTGTTAAATAGGGAATCCTTTCCCCATTGCTTGTTTTTCTCAGGTTTGTCAAAGATCAGATAGTTGTAGATGTGTGGTATTGTTTCTGAGGGCTCTGTTCTGTTCCATTGGTCTATATCTCTGTTTTGGTACTAGTACCATGCTGTTTTGGTTACTGTAACCTTGTAGTATAGTTTGAAGTCAGATAGCGTGATGCCTCCAGCTTTGTTCTTTTGGGTTAGGATTAACTTGGCGATCTGGGCTCCTTTTTGGCTCCATATGAACTTTAAAGTAGTTTTTCCCAATTCTGTGAAGAAAGTCATTGGTAGCTTGATGGGGATGGCATTGAATCTATAAATTACCTTGGGCAGTATGGCCATTTTCACGATATTGATTCTTCCTACCCATGAGCATGGAATGTTCTTCCATTTGTTTGTGTCCTCTTTTATTTCGTTAAGCAGTGGTTTGTAGTTCTCCTTGAAGAGGTCCTTCACATCCTTTGTAAGTTGGATTCCTAGGTATTTTATTCTCTTTGAAGCAATTGTGAATGGGAGTTCACTCATGATTTGGCTGTTTGTCTGTTGTTGGTGTATAAGAATGCTTGTGATTTTTGTACATTGATTTTGTATCCTGAGACTTTGCTGAAGTTGCTTATCAGCTTAAGGAGATTTTGGGCTGACATGATGGGGTTTTCTAGATATACAATCATGTCATCTGCAAACAGGGACAATTTGACTTCCTCTTTTCCTAACTGAATGTGCTTTATTTCTTTCTCTTACCTGATTGCCCTGGCCAGAACTTCCAACACTATGTTGAATAGGAGTGGTGAGAGAGGGCATCCCTGTCTTGTGCCAGTTTTCAAAGAGAATGCTTCCAGATTTTTGCCCATTCAGTATGATATTGGCTGTGGGTTTGTCATAGATAGCTCTTATTATTTTGAGATACGTCCCATCAATACCTAATTTATTGAGAGTTTTTAGCATGAAAGGTTGTTGAATTTTGTCAAAGACCTTTTCTGCATCTATTGAGATAATCATGTGGTTTTTGTTTTTTGTTCTGTTTATATGCTGGATTACATTTATTGATTTGTGTATGTTGAACCAGCCTTGCATCCCAGGGATGAAGTCCAGTTGATCGAGGTGGATACGCTTTTTGATGTGCTGCTGGATTCGGTTTGCCAGTATTTTATTGAGGATTTTTGCATTGATGTTCATCAGGGATATTGGTCTAAAATTCTCTTTTTTTGTTGTGTCTCTGCCCGGCTTTGGTATCAGGATGATGCTGGCCTCATAAAATGAGTTAGGGTGGATTCCCTCTTTTTCTATTGATTGGAATAGTTTCAGAAGGAATGGTACCAGCTCTTCCTTGTACCTCTGGTAGAATTTGGCTGTGAATCCGTCTAGTCCTGGACTTTTTTTGGTTGGTAGGCTATAAATTATTGCCTCAATTTCAGAGCCTGTTATTGGTCTATTCAGAGATTCAACTTCTTCCTGGTTTAGTCTTGGGAGGGTGTATGTGTTGAGGAATTTATCCATTTCTTCTAGATTTTCTAGTTTATTTGCGTAGAGATGTTTATAGTATTCTCTGACAGTAGTTTGTATTTCTGTGGGATTGGTGGTGATATCCCCTTTAGCATTTTTTATGGCATCTATTTGATTATTCTCTCTTTTCTTCTTTATTAGTCTTGCTAGCAGTCTATCAATTTTGTTCATCTTTTCAAAAAAACCAGCTCCTGGATTCACTGATGTTTTGAAGGGTTTTTTGTGTCTCTATCTCCTTCTGTTCTGCTCTGATCTTAGTTATTTCTTGCCTTCTGCTAGCTTTTGAATGTGTTTGCTCTTGCTTCTCTAGTTCTTTTCATTGTGATGTTAGGGTGTCAATTTTAGATCTTTCCAGCTTTCTCTTGTGGGCATTTAGTGCTATAAATTTCCCTCTACACACTGCTTTAAATGTGTACCACAGATTCTGGTACGTTGTGTCTTTGTTCTCGTTGGTTTCAAAGAACATCTTTATTTCTGCCTTCATTTCCTTATGTACCCAGTAGTCATTCAGGAGCAGATCCAACCCCACATTTCCCCTCAGCACTCCACTAGCAGAGGTTATCCGTGATGGCTGAGCCCCTGCAGCAGACTTCTACCTGGACATCCAGATGTTTCCATACATCCTCTGAAATCTAGGCAGAGGTTCCCAAACCTCAACTCTTGTCTTCTGTGCACCCACAGGCCCAACACTATGGAGAAGCTGCCAAGGCTTGGGTTTGCACTCTCTGAAACAATGGCCTGAGCTGTACCTTGGCCCCTTTTAGCCACAGCTGGAGCTGCAGCAGCTGGGATGCAGGGTGCCATGTCCCAAGGCTGCACAGAGCAGTGGGGGCCTGGACCTGGCCCATGACACCATTTTTCCCTCTTAGGCCTCTGGGCCTGTGATAGGAGAGGCTGTGAAGAAGATCTCTGAAATGCACTGGAGACATTTTCCCCATTGTCTTGGCTCCCCATTAAATATGCAAATTTCTGCAGATGGCTTGAATTTCTCCCCAGAAAATGGGTTTGTCTTTTCTACCTCATGGTCAGGCTGCAAATTTTTCAAACTTTTATGCTCTATTTCTTTCTTCATGCATATGAGTATACACTTTTAGAAACAGCTAGGTCGCATCTTGAATGCTTTGCTGCTTTGAAATTTCTTCTGCCAGATACTCTAAATGATCTGTCTCAAGTTCAAAGTTCCACAGATTTCTAGGGCAGGAGCAACATGCTGCCAGTTTCTTCACTAAAGCATAGCAAGAGTAACCTTTACTCCAGTTTTCAATAAGTTCCTCATCACCATATGAGACCACCTCAGCCTGGACTTCACTGTCCATATCACTGTCAGCATTTCGGTCACAATCATTCGACAAGTCTCTATGAAGTTCTAAACTGTCTCACATCTTCCTGTCTTCTTCTGAGCCCTCCAAACTATTCCAACCTCTGCCCATTACCCAGTTCCAAAGTTGCTTCCACATTTTCAGATATCTTTATAGCAATGCCCACTTCCCTGGTACCAATTTTCTCTATTAGTTCATTTTCACACTGCTATAAAGAACTACTTGAGACTGGGTAATTTATGAAGAGGTTTGGTTGACTCATAGTTCTGCAGGCTTAGCAAAAAGCATGACTGGGAGGCCTTAGGAAACTTACAATCATGACAGAAGGTGAAGCAGAAACAAGCACCTTGTTAACATGGTGGCAGGAGAAAGAGAGAGAAAGAGTGAAGGAGGAAGTGCTACACATTTTTAAACCATCAGATCTCATGAGAACTCACTCAATATCATGAGAACAGCAAGGGGAAAATCTGCTCCCATGATCCAATCACCTCCCACCAGGCCTCTCCTCCAATTCGACATGAGATTTGGGAGGGGACACAAAGCCAAACCATATCACAAGCTTTTAAAAAGTAACTTATAAATGATATAAATGTATGTGTAGAAAACAAAAGAATTTACAGACAAAGTGTTAGAATCAGTAATTTTAAAAGCTAAGGTCCTGAAATTATTGTGACAGAGGAAGCAGATAGCCTAACATGTATATTTTATTATGTTTTATTGTATTTTTAATTGACAGATAATAATTCTATTTATGGGGTATAATATGTTTTGATACACGTATACATTATGGAATGATCAAATCAGGCTAGTTAGCATATCTCACTTCCAATATTTATCATTTCTTTGTGATGAAAACATTTAAAATTCTCTTTTAGCTATTTTGAAACATACAATATGCTATTATTAATTATGGTCCATGCTGGTCAATGGATTGCCAGAACTTATTCCTCCTAACTGAAATCTTGTACCTTTTGACCAATGCCCCCCATCCCTGTCCACGTCTCACCCAGCCTCTGGTCACCACCATTCTACTCTCTACTGTAGTGAGTTCACAATGAGATATCACCTTACTCATGTTAGAATGGCTATTATCAAAAAGTTAAAAGATGACAAGCATTGGCAAGGATATGGAGAAAAAGGAACCCTTGTATGCTATTGGTAGAAATATAAACCAGTACAGCCATTTTGGAACAGAAATTAAAAACCAGAATTACCATATGATCCAGCAATCTCACTCCTGGGTATATAGCCAAAGGAAGTGAAATCACCATGTCAAAGTGATGTCTACACTCCCATGTTCATTGTAGCATTATTCACAGTAGCCAAGATATGGAATCAACTAAAGTGCCCATCAGTGGGGAAATTATATGTGCATTTTAAATACTTAGCAATAAGCAGAACATATAAGCACTAAGGTAAAAAAAAAAAAGCAATTAATTACAGGTCACTGTTACATTATTCTATTATAATTCCATTATTACACATAGAGAATGCTTTTTTTAAGTTAGCAGCAACAATGAGAACTAAGAAATGGTCTAATGATGACCAGAGCAAACCCTGAGCTGAGTAAGACAATGGCTCCTTTGATCATAACAAACTCCAAATGGTGTCACTACAGTTCACCAGGCCATTGAATGAAAGTCTTATAACACCTTGAGAAGTCTGGAAAACAATTCACTCTACAAAAATTCATAGTTCCCGACTGTATCTTAGGTATGTGGGGGTATACCAGAAAATAAGATTGATGGGATCTTACACAAAGCATACAACAGAGATAAACATAAAACTCAGAAGTAAATTAGGAAAAAATAATCTGATCTGGTGACCCAGGACTTCCAGGGGAAACTACTTTTTGTTGTTGTTTGAGGAAATAAAGAAACTGAGGCAAAGACAAATGGTCTCATGAGTGGATGTGTGTCAGAAGCCACAGCACTGAGTTTGTCACCTTTTGCCCCTTACAATCAGTGCTCTGTTTCAGCTGGGATAATGGAGGCTATGCTGAGGTAACAAATTAACTTCATAATCTCAGTGGATTAACACAACACAGCTTGTCTCTCAATCATGCCATGTGCTCATATGGTCACAGTGATCTATACCCACATGTCAAGGACCCACATTGACAGAGGCTCCACCGTCTTGAACTTGGAACCCAACACCTTGAGGTTACTGCAGCAGGGAAGAGAGGGATGGAGGAGTTGCATGGGGTCCTAGCTGAGTCAGACCAAAAGTAACACACAACACTTGTATTCACAGCCTCAACCTAACTGCAGAGGAAGCTGAAAAATACAACGTGTCTTTGCCATCATTTCTTTAATTGCATGCAACAGAAATCAACTAGCTTGCTTATGCAAAAAGGAAAAATTTTTGGAAATGCCTGGGGAAGGAAGATCACAGCATCAAAGGGAAGACTGAAGAGCCAGCTTTGAACACACAGGACTCAGGAAGCCACAGAGGTTCTTGAGAATAGGAAGTCCTTGAATGTCTCTCCTGGGCACCACTGCTAGAATGAATGATGTCTAGTCTTTCTTCAGTCCTGTGTATGTTCACTCAAGAGTCAAAATACCAGGGACTAGTTAGCGGAAAACGTCTGATGGAAGGATTATTCAACCATCTCTTCAAGTTAACATGTGCAAAGGGAAAGCAACTGGATTCACTGTCCAAACGATGATCAAGTAGGAGTGAAGTAGTTCCCCAAAAGGAAATAATAGCAGATTTATACGTTGAAGAATGGACATAGAGTGGCCACTATACTGATATTCTCATTTTCATATTAATCTGTGTTGTTCCAGCTACCTGCCCCATCCTAGCTAATCCCAGAATCTCAGGGACCCTGCCATGGGAACTGACCCTTTAGCTTGATGCAAAAATGTTGGGGAAACAGAAAATCTTTAGTTGCAATTTTAAAAAGAAATCTCTCAAAGGCTGAAAATATTTCAGAAAATTCAGCTTGTCATTTATCATACCACAGTTCCTGGATGCCACAAAAGCTTGGAAATCACAAAGAGTTTTTAAAAATTGTTACAGTTTCTTGTGAAAAGCTTCACTGGGCAACAGCAACAGAAAAAACAGAAGTATGATTAACAACCCCAAGAACATCCGATACTCTCTACCTTACCCCTATTATGGAGATTTATGATTTTCCAATTTGTTTCATCTCAGTTTTTCACACACACACAAATGCCCTAAAACATTCATGGCAGATATTCTTGAGTCTGTGAGAAAATGTAATCTGGTCAGTGTTCTGGGCTTTGTACTCTGTGCTGTACTGAGGGAAATTCCAGGTGAAACAGAGCAGCCAGCTCAGCAGAACCATTGTGGACAATCTCTTCTCCAGTAAACCCCTCCAGAGGCATACAGTGTTTGTGCTTTCATTGCCAATGGAATCCCTCCCAGCCAATGTTCCTTGTCATCTCATTAGCCAGAACCAGGTCATATGCTGGCCCTGAGACAAATTATAAGCCAGGGAGTGAGATTACCTTGAGACTGGTGTAGGCTAATCAGCCTCTGCAACTGGTCCTGAACATTAGTGGGCCACATGATTCTTCCACTATCCAGATAATTGATAAGGCTCTAGGAAATATGAATGCCAGTCCCACTGGCTCACAAAATAGAGTTTGGGAAGCAATGACCTATCAGGGCCACACCTTCAGACTTGATCTGGATCTTCCATTTACAAGTTCTGTGACTTTTGGCAATTTACAGCTCAGACTCAGTTGTTTTTATTTCAATAGATTTTGGGGAAGAAAAGGTGGTTTTTGGTTACATGAAGAAGTTATTCGGTAGTGATTTGCGACATTTTGGTCCACCCATCACCAAGCAGTGAACACTGTACCCAATGTGTAATCTTTTATCCCTCATACCCCTCCCACCCTTCCCTCCCAAGTCCCCAGAGTTCATTATATCATTCTTATGCTTTTGCGTCCTCATAGCTTAGCTCCCACTTATGAGTGAGAACATATGATGTTTGATTTTCCACTCCTGACTTACTTCACTTAGAATAATGCTCTCCAACTCCATCCAGGTTGCTGCAAACGCCATTATTTCATTCCTTTTTATGGCTGAGTAGTATTCCATGGTGTATATGTATATGTGTGTGTGTGTGTATATATATATATATATATATGCCATTTTCTTTATCCACCTGTTGGTTGATGGGCACTTAGATTGGTTCCATATTTTTGCAATTGTGAATTGTGCTGCTATAAACATGCATGTGCAAGTATCTTTTTCACATAATGACTTCTTTTCCTCTGGGTAGATACCCAGTAGTGGGATTGCTGGTTCAAATGGCAGTTCTACTTTTAGCTCTTTAAGGAATCTCCATACTGTTTTCCATAGTGGTTGTACCAGTTTACACTCCCACCAACAGTGTTCCCTTTTCACCACATCCACACCAGTATCTATTATTTTTTGAGTTTTTAATTATGGCCATTCTAGCAGGAGTAAGCTGGTATTTCATTGTGGTTTTGATATGCATTTCCCTGATAATTAGTGATGTTGAGCATTTTTTCCTATGTTTGCTGACCATTTGTATATCTTTTGAGAATTGTCTATTCATGCCCTTAACCCACTTTTTGATGGAATTGTTTTTTTCTTGCTGATTTGTTTGAGTTCCTTATAGATTCTGGATATTAGTGCTTTATCAGATGCATAGTTTGTGAAGATTTTCTCCCACTCTGTGGGTTATCTGTTTACTCTGCTGATTATTTCTTTCGCGGTGCATAAGCTTTTTAGTTTAATTAAATACCATCTATTTATCTTTGTTTTTATTGCATTTGCTTTTGGGTTCTTGATCATAAATTCTTTCCCTAAGCCAATGTCTAGAAGAGTTTTTCCAATGTTATCTTCTGGAATTTTTATGGTTTCAAATCTTAGACTTAAATCTTTGATCCATCTTGAGTAGATTTTTGTATTAAGTGAGAGATGAGGATCCAGTTTCATTCTTCTACGTGTAGCTTGCCAATTATGCCAGCACCATTTGTTGAATAGGGTGCCCTTTCCCCACTTTTAGCTTTTCGTTGCTTTGTCAAAGATCAGTTGGGTGTAAATATTTGAGCTTATTTCTGGGTTCTCTTTTATGTTCCATTGGTCTACGTGTCTGTTTTTATATCAGTACCATGTTGTTTTGGAAACTATAGCCTTGTAGTATAGTTATAAGTTGGGTAACGTGATACTTCCAGGTTTGTTCTTTTTGCTTAGTCTTGCTTTGGCTATGCAGGCTCTTTTTTAGGTTCCTTTTGAATTTTAGGATTGTTTTTTCTAGTTCTGTGAAGAATAATGATGGTACTTTGGTGAGCATTGCAATGAATTTGTAGATTGCTTTTAGTGGTATGGTCATTTTCACAATATTGATTCTACCCATTCATGAGCATGGGATATGTTTCCGTTTCTTTGTGTCCTCTATATTTCTTTCAGCAGTGTTTTGTAGTTTTCCTTGTAGAGATCTTTCATCTCCTTGGTTAGCTATATTTCTAAGTATACATATATTTTTTGTAGCAGTTGTAAAAGGGGTTGAGTTCTTGATTTGATTCTCAGCTTGGTTGCTGCTGGTGTATAGCAGTGCTACTGATTTGTGGACGTTGATTATGTATCCTGAAAGTTTACTTAATTCATTTATCAGATCTAGGAGCTTTTTGGATGAGTCTTTAGGGTTTTCTAGTTATACAATAAGATCTTCAGTGAACAGTGACAGCTTGACTTCCTCTTTACCAATTCAGATGCCCTTTATTTCTTTCTCTTGTCTGATTGCTCTGGCTAGGACTTTCAGTACTATGTTGAATAGAAGTGGTGAAAGTGGGCATCCTTGTCTTGTTCCAGTTCTCAGGGGGAAGGCTTTCAACTTTTCCCGTTCAGTATAATGTTGGCTGTGGGTTTGTGATAGATGGCTTTTATTACCTTAAGCCATGTCCCTTCTATGCTAATTTTGCTGAGGGTTTTAATCATAAAAGGATGCTGGATTTTGTCAAATGCTTTTTCTGCATCTATTGAGATGATCATAAGATTTGTTTTTAATTGTTTACATGGTGTATTCATTTATTGACTTATGTATGTTAAACCATCCTTGCATCCCTGGTATGAAACCCACTTGATCTTCGTATATTATATTTTCGATATGCTGTTGGATTCAGTTAGCTAGTATTTTGTTGAGGATTTTTGCATCTAAGTTCATCTAGGATATTGGTCTGTAATTTTCTTTTTTTGTTATGTCCTTTCCTGATTTTAGTATTAGGGTAATCCTGGCTTCACAGAATGATTTAGGGAAGATTTCCTCTTTATCTTTTTGAATGGTTTCCGTTAGATTGGTACTTTTTTTTTTTTTTTTGAGGCAAGCTCTGGCTCTATCACCCAGGCTGGAGTGCAGTGGCATAATCTCAGCTCACTGCAACCTCTGCTTCACAG